>NC_000012.12:30291247-30443943 GCF_000001405.40 Homo sapiens
TCAAAAGCTAGCAGAAGGCAAGAAATAACTAAGATTAGAGCAGAACTGAAGAAGATAGAGACACAAAAAATCAATGAATCCAGGAGCTGGTTTTTTGAAAAGATCAACAAAATTGATAGACCTCTAGCAAGATTAATAAAGAAGGAAAGAGAGAAGAATCAAATAGACACAATAAAAAATGATAAAGGGGATATCACGACCAATCCCACAGAAATACAAACTACCATCAGAGAATACTATAAACACCTCTACGCAAATAATAAAAAATAAATAAATAAAAGAAAGAAAATCTAGAAGAAATGGATAAATTCCTAGACACATACACACTCCCAAGACTAAACCAGGAAGTAGTTGAATTCCTGAATAGACCAATAATAGGCTCTGAAATTGAGGCAATAACTAATCGCCTACTAACCAAAAAAAGTCCAGGACCAGACAGATTCGCACCGAATTCTACCAGAGGTACAGGGAGGAGCTGGTACCATTCCTTCTGAAACTATTCCAATCAATAGAAAAAGAGGGAATCCTCCCTAACTCATTTTATGAGGCTAGCATCATCCTGATACCAAAGTCTGGCAGAGACATAACCAAAAAAGAGAATTTTAGACCAATATCCCTGATGAATATCGATGCAAAAATCCTCAATGAAATACTGGCAAACCGAATCCAGCAGCACATCAAGAAGCTTATCCACCATGATCAAGTGGGCTTCATCCCTGAGATGCAAGGCTGGGTCAACATATGCAAATCAATAAACATAATCCAGCATATAAACAGAACCAAAGACAAAAACCACATGATTATCTCAATAGATGCAGAAAAGGCCTTTGACAAAATTCAACAACGCTTCATGCTAAAAACTCTCAATAAATTAGGTATTGATGGGACATATCTCAAAATAATAAGAGCTATCTATGACAAACCCACAGCCAATATCATACTGAATGGGCAAAAACTGGAAGCATTCCCTTTGAAAACTGGCACAAGACAGGGATGCCCTCTCTCACCACTCCTATTCAACATAGTGTTGGAAGTTCTGGCCAGGGCAATCATGCAGGAGAAGGAAATAAAGGGTATTCAATTAGGAAAAGAGGAAGTCAAATTGTCCCTGTTTGCAGATGACATGATTGTATATTTAGAAAACCCCATCGTCTCAGCCCGAAATCTCCTTAAGCTGATAAGCAACTTCAGCAAAGTCTCAGGATACAAAATCAATGTGCAAAAATCACAAACATTCCTACACACCAATAACAGGCAAAGAGAGAGCCAAATCATGAGTGAACTCCCATTCACAATTGCTTCAAAGAGAATAAAATACCTAGAAATCCAACTTACAAGGGATGTGAAGGACCTCTTCAAGGAGAACTACAAACCACTGCTCAATGAAATAAAAGAGGACACAAGCAAATGGAAGAACATTCCATGCTTATGGATAGGAAGAATCAATATCATGAAAATGGCCATACTGCCCAAGGTAATTCATAAATTCAATGCCATCCCCATCAAGCGACCAATTACTTTCTTCACAGAATTGGAAGAAACTACTTTAAAGTTCATATGGAACCAAAAAAGAGCCCGCGTTGCCAAGACAATCCTAAGCAAAAAGAACAAAGCTGGAGGCATCACGCTACCTGACTTCAAACTATACTACAAGGCTACAGTAACCAAAACAGCATGGTACTGGTACCAAAACAGAGATATAGACCAATGGAACAGAACAGAGCCCTCAGAAATAATACGACACATCTACAACCATCTGATCTTTGACAAACCTGACAAAAACAAGAAATGGGGAAAGGATTCCCTGTTTAATAAATGGTGCTGGGAAAACTGGCTAGCCATATGTAGAAAGCTAAAACTGGATCCCTTCCTTACACCTCATACAAAAACTAATTCAAGATGGATTAAAGGCTTAAATGTTAGACCTAAAACCATAAAAACCCTACAAGAAAACCTAAGCTATACCATTCAGGACATAGGCACGGGCAAGGACTTCATGTCTAAAACACCAAAAGCAATGGCAACAAAAGCCAACATTGACAAATGGGATCTAATTAAACTAAAGAGCTTCTGCACAGCAAAAGAAACTACCATCAGAGTGAACAGGCAACCTACAGAATGGGAGAAAATTTTTGCAATCTACCCATCTGACAAAGGGCTAATATCCAGAATCTACAAAGAACTTAAACAATTTACAAGAAAAAATAAAACAACCCCATCAGAAAGTGGGAAAAGAATATGAACAGACACTTCTCAAAAGAAGACATTTATGCAGCCAACAGACACATGAAAAAATGCTCATCATCACTGGTCATCAGAGAAATGCAAATCAAAACCACAATGAGATACCATCTCACACCAGTTAGAATGGTGATTATTAAAAAGTCAGGAAACAACAGGTGCTGGAGACAATGTGGAGAAATAGGCACACTTTTACACTGTTGGTGGGACTGTAAACTAGTTCAACCATTGTGGAAGTCAGTGTGCCGATTCCTCAGGGATCTAGAACTAGAAATACCATTTGACCCAGCAATCTCATTACTGAGTATATACCCAAAAGATTATAAATCATGCTACTATAAAGACACATGCATATGTATGTTTATTGCAGCCCTATTCACAATAGCAAAGACTTGGAACCAACCCAAATGTCCATCAGTGATAGACTGGATTAAGAAAATGTGGCACATATACACCACAGAATACTATGCAGCCATAAAAAAGGATGAGTTCATGTCGTTTGTAGGTACATGGATGAAGCTGGAAACCATCATTCTGAGCAAACTATCGCAAGGACAGAAAACCAAACATGGCATGTTCTTACTCATAGGTGGGAGTTGAGCAATGAGAACACTTGGACACGGGGTGGGGAACATCACACTCCAGGGCCTGTCATGTGGGTAGGAGAAGGAGGGACGAATAGCCTTAGGAGAAATACCTAATGTAAATGATGAGTTAATGGGTGCAGCACACCAACATGGCACACGTATACCTATGTAAAAAACCTGCACGTTGTGCACATGTACCCTAGAACTTAAAGTATACAGAAGAAAGAAAACAAAAACCCAGAAAGAAAGAAACACCAATGTAAAAAAAAACAAAAACAAAAACAAAAAAATAAACAAAGGGAAGGAATCTGAAACCTCAGGTCTGGACAGGGCACCAAACCACCTGCTAGAGTAGGGTAAAGTGCTCATAGACAGGGATCTTAGGGGTGAGTTGAAAGCAGGTGAGAGATTTATTCCACAACTGGTTCATTTTGTTCGCCTGCTGTGTCACACACTGTGCTAGTCACACTGGTGACAAACAAGGCAGACAGTACTCCTGAGCTTTGCTCCTGAGCTTTCTTCTGGCCACGGATATGGGGCGGTGGGGAGTCAGGAAGTAACCAAACAGATACATCAACAAGATCACCAGTGGATGGCGAGCTAGAGAGGAACCCAAGAAGCAAGGGAAATCTTGTGAGCCATTGTCTGAAAGATCTGGAGTCTGAGTTGTTGAGCTCCTTCTGTTTTCAGCTCTTTAGTATGTGAAGAATGATTCTCTGGAACCTATCCAGTCTTCATTCGATACCACCCTGAAAAAGTTGTCTCAGATATTAGCGCTCAGTTTACCCTACTTTCTGGCTGAGTTGGATGAGCAGTAGCCTTGTCAAAGCCTCTGGATCAAAGCCCTGGAAAGAAAAAGCACCACTTTTTAAGGTTGTCGAAAAGAAAAAAAAAATCTGGAATTGGCTACGAGACCTTCAAAACTTACTGCACCACTGGCACAATAGGAGGGTGAACATGAACAATGCTCCTCCTTCTGAAAAATAAGGAAGGTATGAACAAGGTCAACCATAAAAGGCACAAGGACCACAACATCTACCTGAAGAAGCTGGGTCTGTCTACAAACCAGTGGTGTGTCACTGTGAATATTTGGAGCTGGCGAAATGACCAGATCCCCAGAACCACTGGACACCCGGAGTGCTACTCCAGGCTCTGGAGGCCAATCTGCCCTCAGTGTTTATGGAACCCTGAGGTTTGTTGGTCTCCTAGTTTCAGAAATATCCTTACGATAAATCCCAACTGCTGAAGGTAACGCTGTGAGAGGGTCTCTGTGGTCCTGAGAGATCCTGACTGATACACAGGCTCTAAATGTGTAGGGGTCTGCAAACGACAGGTCAGGGAGGGCTGGAAGCAGGGTGAGCCACTACACTCCCACTTTTGACTTTTTTTCACTCCAGCCTGCCCTTCTCATTCCTGCCAAAATTACAGATTGCACCAGCCCAGAAGGAAGCCCTGAATTAAGGATTTGGGTCTCCATCCAATTTCAAAGTGCAGTCACTGAAACAGGTACTTCCGTCACTACCACTTGCTTCTCCATGAAGCAGAACAGTTCCTTCTGCTCCCCAAGCCCAGCTCCACTTGCTTCCAGTCTGCAGGAACTCAAGACATGGATCATCATCTCTTCCCTTTCAACTCCCAGGTTCTGCCAAGCATGGCCCTGATGGAAAGCCACGGCAGTGGAGTGGGAGTTGTCTCTTTTAACCAATCCTTTTCAGTAGCAGGTTTGAACTTACATCTTAAAAAACTCAAAAATATTTATTTTAGAAAGCAGGCTCCATGTCCCAAAGCCTGTGGCAAGTGGGAACTTAAGGTCCCTTGAAATCATCCAAGTGTGGAAGTGGTGATTTAGAGCTAAAGCAATGATCTAAATTCTCCAGGCTGAAGTTGAGCTGAAAGAGGGCCTCAGTTCTCTCCTTCTATCCCTGGGCCTTCTTCCCAAGCCACCCCTAGACACCCTGTCCACAGAAGCCGTGGTTTGTGACGGCACCTCACTCCTGCATTCTGAAAGATGCCATTTCACAATGGTTGCTCCCTTTACAACTGTCTCATGGCCCCCAACCGAACAAACTCCAGCGGACAGATTCATGCCAGCAACAGGTTCACAGCAGACTGTGGAGGTATAGAGCACATGAATCTCCCACTTACTGAGAAAAAAAGTGACAGAGAGCCTAGGGAAAGGAAACAGGGACCCACTCCCTGCTCCCTATTCCCCCCATCCCAGCCCCTCCCATCCATCCCCATTCCTTCCACCTGAGATCAGTGCTGAGCCCCCTAAGAAGCTCATTGAGTCTTTTGGAAATATAACAAAAGTGAGTACAATTGGTGCAATTGCAATGAGCCCCAGATGCCCAGGTCTGACATCCTCTGAATCACCCCCTCTCAAGGGTCTTCCAGGCAGCTGTCCTCACTCTGGCTTAAGTAAATTAAGTTAGATTTTGTGCCTTGCCTCTTGCTTTTAAGTTGACACTGACGCGAATAAATGGCCCATGAGAGGGTTTCCTAAGAGAGGAAGGAGGCTGTCTCAGAAGCAGGAGGAACTCACGTCTGCCGAGGACACAGTTATATCCAGTGAGGTCGGGGGCGGGCTGTTGACAGCTTCCATTAATTCCACTGGGACAGGCAAGCATCAACTGGCAGTTATTGGAGCTGAGGATGCTGGGATAGATTGTAAAGTGAACAGCTGGCCCTTCGATTGTAAGCCTAGCTTAAGGAAACAGAACTGCAGGGAGAGAGGAAAGAGCAGATTTTCATAAGATCTCTTGTTAGGCTTTGGTTTCCATATCCTTCCCCACAGCTTCAGCCCAAGCGCCCAGCAGCCCACCTGTTTGTCTTTTCCCAACTCCGCAAAGGTAGAGGCTCCTGTTGGTAAAGCGACAGCTGAGAAGTGGGAAAGATAAAGGTTACAAACACTGCCCCAGATAATCCACAAAAAGCTTTGCTGGAATCAGGTTATGCATCTCTGAATCTGAGCTAGATTTATTGGGTCAGGGACCATGCTTGCTTATTGGCTCAAGAACTGACTGAGGAGGTGTCTTAAGAAATGCTTGCTGGATGGATAAATAAACAGCTGAGTGTTTATCTGAGCCTGGAAACTGCCTGCACCAGCACAAAAGTAAAGCCCCAACACCCTTAGGCCACACCTGCTGGAAGGCTTCCTATCTGTCAGCCCCAAGAAGATGTAGGCAAGATGAGGCAAGTTCTGACCAACAAAGGAAACTGCCGTCCTTCTTTCCTGGCCTTTCTTCCACTGTGATGCCAAAAATCCCATCAAGTCCAGTTACCCAGACAGTGGGATGTAAGAGGAGTTTCCTGGAAATCTGGCTCTACCATTGCCCCCATGAGTATAATGGTGACAAGCTTGGGCCCTGAAATCAGAAAGCCCGAAGTTTGAAATCTCAGACTTCTTACTTGCTAGCTGTGAGACTTTGAGCAAATTACTCAATGTTTCTAAACCTTGATTTCCTCAATGGGTAAAATGGGGATAATATTGGGTAACACACTAACCACAATGTCAAGAATAGAGTTAGTGCTCAATAAACGTTTATCTCTATTCCCGTACACCCCATCCTGCTAATTCCCTTCTTTCTCTTCTTCCCCATAACTTCCAATAGCATCATTACCTATGAACAGAGGGTAGAATAATCACAAAACTGGAAAGTTTGGGACAGCCTAAAAGTTATTTACAAGTCTAAGAGCAACCACTGAGTCCTGCCCAATGGCCTGGCTTTTTAAAAAACACCTAATTAGGAGCCAGTGAGGTCCCTAAGCCCACACAATTTCCTAGAAATGACAGGGTATGTATTTACAAAATAACTCTTTACCCTTTAAAAGAGCACAAGTATTTTCTGCTCCCATGATATCTCAAGTGGCACCTAGATTGCTGAAGTTCTGTTATCCAATGAGTAGTGTCACTCAGAGAGGTGGTATGAGTGATTTAGAGTCTAGGTCTCTGAACTGGGATGAGCCATTTCTTCATGTCTTGGTCTCCAATGCATAAAATGAAGAGATTGGAGCAGATGATCACTAGAGAACCTTCCAATGTTAAGACTTAAAGTTTAAATGGTTTTATGATAGGGAGGGATTGTAGAAAAGTAAAACCCACAAAACTTAACCTCCCAGGAGGAAAATTAAAATATTTTAATTGGAAGTAAATGATAACGTGGCACAGTTTGATGTGAATGTAATGGCATAAGGAGGTCGGAGGTCCTGGGTGCCCTCTCACACTCATTCTCAGCACCAGATGTGGGGGCACCTGGAACAGCCTGTAGGGAGGCTAATAAATTCCACCCTCACTCCAGCTCTGAAGAAACCTCCATGGTAGAAAAAAACCAAAGAGCCCCTGAGTCTCTCTACTGCTTCAATGGCTACTCCTACTTTGGAAAGCAGAGAAGGAGGAAGACCCCAACATCTTCCATCAGTGCTGAAGACACCACCCAATCCCTCCACACCTCTGCTTCAGCTCTTACCTGTGCCCCCACCCCCACACAGCCCTCTGCTAGCCACTAGGTGTTAGCTGTCTTTCACCTGCAAAAGGTCTCCCTTTGCCAATTTTTGTCACAAATTTTTGCATATTGCTTCTATACATTTGCAGATAGGATTCAGTAGGCACTGATTCCAACTATGTAAGAGAAAATGGAATGGCTGCACTTGCTGTCACAGAAGGCTTTCAGGAGAGCACATTGATTGGCTAAAGGGTCCTGGGAGAGGTACTCTAACTATGTTAGACTGAGATGCTCAGAAAGGAGCTTCCCCACAATCAAGGAAATCAGGGCTTTTCAGTGTTGACTTGAAATCCTGCCTAATAGTCAGGAAAAAGCTTTTTTCAACCATGAGGGAAGAATGAGGAGGTAAGGATGGAGAGGGGTAGAGTGCCAAACGATTCCATCCAGATTGGGGCATGGAAGGACAGTGGCGGGCCCAAGTCCAGAGCTGTTCCCTCCAAATAGTGAATGTTTGGCAACCTTACCCAGAAGTTCTGATATTTCTAGTTAGTCAGACCAGGCTCTGATTTCCAAAATAAGGCCAAATCCAGAACAGTTTGGGAAATGAAGGTATCTGGCTGAAAGACAAGAGTTGGAACCATTGCCCTACCATCAGCATCACATTAACAGAAACAAATTCCTCTGCCCATGCAAACTATCCACAAACAATTTAAGCCAAGAAAAAGTCCCAACTAGAAAAGCACGTGGATGAGCACCAACCCAATGAGGCCCATCATTTTTGAGTGGACACCCTCTGAGCAACTTGGCGAAGAAAGCAGAGCTCAACTTCCCCCCAGGAGGTTTGGGAGAACCTCTCCCGATGAACAGACATGAAGGCGGAGTTCGGTGATAGCACCTGGAAAGGTAGTAACTACTCACTGGCCACAGGGATGACTGAAATGAGACCTATGCCAGGGATAACACAAAGGATAAAAACAGTCTAAAGCAGAGATTGAGTTTATTATTTGCTGAACAAGAGGAGGGTCACATTTCATTAAGAAAGGTCAGGACAGTTCTCTGAATTGAAGGTGAACAGGACAGACACACTGTGAGAAAGAGGAAGTTTTGTCAAAATTTGTGATTGACTCGAAAACAAGAGTAAACTCTCTTGGATTGTTTGCTATTCTACTTTGTGTCACAGAAGCACAAGCACAGTTCTCCGAAAGGTCCTGGATGGATCTGATCTGTGGGGCATGGCCCTGGCAGCCTGGTGTCTGTGCCTCCTCTCATCGAGGTGAAATTTTTCTCTGGCACCCACTTTGGTTAAGAATGAGGAGCCCTGAGCCCCCATCAGCCTGCAGCATGGCTCTGTGCCTATCACCCAGCTCTCTTCTCCTCACTGCCTAGGATGGATAAAAATGCAGCTTTCCTGGCCACAGGGATGAAATAACCACATGAAAGCAGATGGGTAATTTTGTTAGCACATAACTATTAATATGCTATTTTCTAAACAGGAAAACTGAGGCACTGAGCCCCAAGCCCCAGTAAGTTGGAGGCTACATGATTAAAATGTTGCTGAATAGGGAGAAAAAGGCAAATTGTAAAGAGCTAACCAAAAACTAATAGGGTCTAAATCTGGGTGGTGCGATTGCAGGTGGTTTTTATTTTCTAGCTTTCTATATTGGTGTTCTATATTCTCCAAATTTTCTACTCTGTGTGGTTTTGAAACCTTCTTCTTTTTATTTTGATACAACAAGGATGAAGTCAAGGTCGTGGTAGTTATTGCAATGATGAGTTTAGGCCAGGCTCACACCTGTGAGTTTAGGTAGCTCACATCTGTAATCCTAACCCTCTGGGATGGTAGGAGGTAGGAGGATCACTTGAGGCCAGGAGTTTAAGACCAGCTTGGGCAACATGGTGAGACCCCACCTCTATAAAAAATTTATTAGCCAGGTGTGGTGGTGCAGGCCTGTAGTCCTGGCTACTTAGGAGACTGAGATGGGAAGATTACTTGAGCTCAAAACTTTGAAGTTGCCGTGAACTATGATTATGATGATCATACCACTGCACTCCAGCCTGGACAACAGAGCAAAACCCTGTCTCCAAAAAGAAGAAAAAATATTACATAAGGGTGTGAGGTCAAAAAGTTTCACTACTGATACAGACAATAGGGCACAAAGAGCTCAAAACTAAATAATGCGTTTAACAACCCTGCACATTAGCCACTATAAAAGTAAGAAAAGATCACGCAGGTGTGCCCAAGGACATGTAGTTTTCTTCTCAAGAAAGGAAAGTACCTAGAATAAGATAATGTAAAAGAGTCAGTGCAGGGGTAACCAACGCGCATATATATATGTATATATGTCTTTTTTTTTTTTTTTTGAGACAGAGTCTCACTCTGTCGCCCAGACTGGAGTGCAGTGGCACGATCTCGGCTCACTGCAACCTCCGCTTCCTGGGTTCAAGTGATTCTCCTGCCTCAGCTGGGATTACAGGCGCATGCCACCACACCTGGCTAATTTTTTCTTTTTCTTTTTCTTTTTTTTTTTTGTATTTTTAGTAGAGACGGGGTTTCACCATGTTGGCCAGGATGGTCTCGATCTCCTGACCTTGAGTTCCACCCACCTCGGCCACCCAAAGTGCTGGGATTGCAGGCGTGAGCCACCGCGCCTGGCCTAACAACTCCAATTTAAGCATCAGTGTCGTGTCAGACTTTGTGATGGCTGGGAGGAATGTAGCCATGTCTGAAATTCACTATTCCCAAAAAGCTTACTTTCTAGGAGAGACACAACTGAATTTTTGGTTGAAATGCAGTTAGGAAGAAGGGAGATACATGCACGGAATATAACAGGTCAGCGGGGAGGGGCCTTGGATGAGGGGTGGAATGAGGAAAGGGGAGAAGGGGGACTTCCTGAAAAGATATGTCTGTGCTGAGTCTTAGAGGATGAGTGGGAATTTGGCTGCTGAGTGGGAGAGGCACTGCAGGAGGAGGGAGTGCTCCAACACTGGGAGCAGCATGAGCCCAGGCCCAGAGGTATGAATCAGCATGGTGTATTTGGAGAAGGTATGAAAAGGGAGTACAGAAAATGAAAAACAGACTAGAGTGGTCCCCCAACAAAATAAATGTAATGCCCCCAATAAAATTACAAGTTTTACAAACCAAGACTTAGCAGCTCTGATAACAAATATCTACTCTATTTTAGAAGAGAATAAACTGGTCCATAATTCAGGTGTATGGAAACAAAGTGTCTGTTTTGGAAAACAAAAATGAGACTCTGCTCTCATATCTTGATACGAAGTGAAATGCTCTGGTCACCCCTTTGCCTTCCGAGTGCTTTCTTGTCTCTGGCTCCCAAGGGCTGCCCAGAGTGGCCATAGTGGCCCCTGGGGGCCAACGAAAGAGGAAACTCCACCCTGTCAGGGCCCATCAGCAAGAATCCCAGGACTTCACCCCACGTGGTTCAGAAAGGGGTTGTGTGGCTAGGTCATGCCATGCATGTGAAATTGTTTTTTTCACCAAAGGAGCTAGTCAGGATGGCTGAATGTTTATTTCAGAAGCAGCGGATCAATGCCATTCTAAAAGTTAAATCAAGGTTAGCCTAAAGCTGCCTCCTTACATATTTAAGTTTGGCCTAAAGGTTTTTCTGTACATTGGAAACCATAACAAGTGGAAGTGTAAACCGACTGCAGCCCACATCTGTGCCAATCACTGTATTTTGGCCAATCAAATGTAGCCAACTGTTCAAATCATGTTCAAATAAGGCAAATGCCAAGCTGTGACCAATCCAATGTTTCTTACCTCACTTCTGTTTTCTGTACGTCACTTTCCTTTTGCCGTCCATAAATCATCTTCCACCACGTGGCTGTGCTGAAGTCTCTGAATCTGCTATGATTCTAGGGGCTGCCCAATTCACAAATTGTTCATTGCTCAATTAAACCCCTTTGAATTTAATCTGGCTGAATTTTTTTTTAACAAAAGCTAGTATTCTGTTTTAAATCACACAGAGGAAGGGGGATACCCTGCTAGTTACATCAAATAAAAGAGGAGAGAAAGGGAACATTTTCTGATAGTAATTCATGGCCGACCTATCCCCATGAACAGCCTTCATCAAAGGTTGAACTGACCCAAAAGATGCTCTGGCATTTACCCAGGTGTCCCTGGGGGGAATCTGGCCTTTCCAACAGGCACTGGTAGGTGGCAGAAGAAGCCTCCTTGACACACAGCTGGGACTCTGCTTCCAGTAGAAACCTGACTGAAACCCCTGGAATTAAAGAGGGTTAGACAATTCTGCAGACTGTGGACTAGGGTCCCAGAACCTCTCAAGGGCCAGGGCAGGCTGGCGGCAACCTGGGCAGGTGTCTGCCCAGAACAGCAGACAGCTGAGGCAGTGCAGCCAGAGTGAGACTCTGCCGGCAGTCAGGCTTGGGGGCTGAGGCAGTGCAGGAAGAGAGCCAGCTCACACTGTCCTGCAGATGGGGGAGATTCGGCAAGCAGGGAAGAAAACTATCAAGAGAAGCAAGAAGCCCCAGGAGAAGGTTGAGATGGGCCTCTCAGAGCAGAGTAGGGACTATCAGTAAAGAAGTAAGGATCTGAATGCAGAGAGAGGAAATTAGCCTGTCCTTACAAGCTAAATGGTTCAGGGACCGGCAACCTAACATAAATGATCTCACTTCTATCAATGGAACAGAATAAATAACTCAGAAATAAAGTTACATACATACAACCAACTGATCTTCAACAAAGATGACAAAAATATACACTGGGGAAAGGACTCCCTATTCAATTAACAGTGCTGGGAAAATTGGATAACCATAGGCAGAAGAGCGAAACTGGATCCCTGTCTCTCACCATATACAACAATTAACTGAAGATGGATTGAACACTTACATGTAAAACTTGAAATTATAAAATTTCTAGAAGAAAAGCTGGGGAAAACTCTACTGAACATTGGTTTAGACAAATAATTTATGACTAAGACCCCAAAAGCAAACACAACAAAAACAAAAATCGACAAATGCGATTTCATTAAACCAAAAAGTTTCTGCACAGCAAAAGAAATCAACAGAGTAAACAACTTGCAGAATGAGAGACAATATTTGCAAGCTATGCATCTGACAAGGGACTGATATCCAGAATCTATAAAAAATTTAAACAACTCAATGAGAAAAAAAAACCCGTCAAAAAGAAGACAAAGGATATAAAGAGACACACTTCACAAGAATACATACAAGTGGCCAAAAAACATATGAAAAAATGCTCAACACTACCAATTATCAGAGAAATGCAAACTAAATTCACAGTGAAATATCATCTTACAGCACTCCAGTTGGGAGCTAAACAATGGTACACAGGGACATACAGAGTATGTCACCTGCACCAAGTGTCCTTCTCCCTGGCCCCCTACCCTTAGAAGTCTGCAGGCCAAAATTGTACAAAAAGCAAGATGACAGAGTCAGAGGGAGATAATGCCAGGTTTAGAGGCATGAAGGCCAGGGCAGCACTGCATGCAGGACAGGGGCATTTACTAAGCATCTGGAAATACAACTTTTCTTGATCCAGAACAGCTGGAAAAAAAGCCCCATAGCACATTTGTTTAAAAAAAAAAAAAGGAAATTAACCCAAATCCTTCCCTGGGTTCCAGTCTAAAAGGAAATAGGACAACGAACCTTTCATCACTGGCCATTTCTATACATGCACAGAAATGCTTGAAGACTTTTAGATTGCCTTTTACATAATATGTGGAAAGCATAACAGGGAGATGTGATAGAATTGTGGGAGGACCCTTAGATTGGGTGTAAAGAGATGATGTTTACGTGGAACTCAGACAATTAAAAGAAATCCTTTGTCTTTGGTGGCATGCATTGCAGGTGAGAAAGCTAATGCAGGTATCTAAGGTAGGAACAAACTTGAGGGACAGACACCATATCTGAAGTTGGCAACCATGTCTGAAGCATCCAGTGGGGAAGGTGACAGAAGCAAGAGCAGGTGCTGATGAGGTTGGCAGGACTCAAGCCCTGCGCAACCACAAGGGAGAGGGGTCTGGATTCCATTGCAAATCTGATGGACAGCCCTTGGTTAAGTTTTAACCAGGAGGGTGATGTGATCAACTTGCATTAAAAAAGATAACTCCAGATGGTCTATGGAAAACACCCAAAGGGGAAGAGAGTACAAACATGAAGGCCAAGCAAGAGGCTTCTGTAGTACTCCAGGCAGGAAATGATGGTAGCTTTGACCAGGCTGGAAACAGTGGAGAGGTAGGGAACTGCATCCATTTGGGAAATGCTTCAGAGGTCATCTTGACAAGACATTACAGTGGATTGGATGTGAGTTAGGCAGGAGAAGGGAATTGAAGATGGACCTCTAGGGTTTTGGGCTGAGCAACTCTGGATGGATGGTGGGGCCATTTAGTTAGATGAAGAAGAGAGGCAAAGCTGGTTTGGGGTGGAGGAGTGAATCATTCAGAACTCTGTTTTTGAACATGGTGAATTTGGGTATTAATCGCTTATAAAAAGTAATGCTATCATAGAATCCATAACACTTCCCAGGAACTGTGGCTTTTTCACTGGGGTTTTGAGCTCCACTGGGAAAACCACATGCAGCACCCACAGTGTTAGATGTTGTCCTCAAGGTCAGCAAAGAATGGCTTTGTCCTTGGGTCACTCACTCATTCATCCCTCCCTTAGACACACACGTATGTTCCAGAAGGAAAGTCTGCATGTCCTTCAATCTTTATAATAATCAACTGGTAGAGGCCTTTATGACCTGTAAAGTTCCAGACAGATTCAGAATCTGTCATTTTACTGTTTAAAAATTATCTTTCTTCGTAGATGTAGACACAGAGAAGTACAAATAAGGCCACAGTATGGCCTCTAATCCCCTAGTTCAGGAAATGCAAATGCTGGCCTCAGCCAGCCTCCCCAGCCCCACACCCCCTCCAGGCCCAGCCCCGGTGTCCCATTAACCTTGCAGCCTAGGTAGGAATTTTCTATCCTGTCCCTGGAGACAAGGTGGCTGCACCGGGAAGGGCTGGGTTTTTCACATGGTGGGGGTGACAGGCTGGTAGGGGGAGAGGGATTGAACAGGAGCCCAGGCCAGAGCTAAGAACTGATCTAAGAATTGCATGGTGGAGAAAGGGCAGCGATCAATCCCATTTTTTTTAACAAGGCAACTGGCATGCAGGAATAATCAGCTATCTCCTCTCCTGATTCTGGGGCTGGAATCATTTTACTGAAGGCCTGGTGGTGTCACATGAGGGATGAGAAAGGAGGAGGTTTGGTTGCCTGGAATTGGGGTGGACAAAAGTATGCCAAAAATCATCTGCTGAAAACTTAGAGCTGGTTCCCTTTTCCTTTTGAATGTCAAATAAGCAGAAGAGAAATCAGATTACGTGTGTGCCCTCCTCATTTCCCTAGGGATAAGGTGTGGGTTTTCAGTCTTTGGATGTTTCTTACTAGACTGAGCTAGAGTGAGCTGTGCCCATTGGGAAGACAGGGTGGGATTCTTGCCTGGGCTTTCAGTGTGAGGGATCACAGCCCAGGTCTGTTCAACTCTGCTTCCCTCCTCCCAGGTATTGTGGGCCTTGTGTCAGATGTTGTCAGGATTCCTGTGCCAGGAGGCAGTCCAGGAGCTCTACCTACAGCTGCTGCTGGCTGTGCTGTGTCATCACTGCTGGGCGATTTAGCAAAATGCTCCCCAGAAGATGGTAGAACACAGCAAGGAGGGGCCCCTGGGAAGCAAAAGCAACTCTGACCCCATTAGGTAAGCCTAACCACCAGGGAATAGAGAAAGGAAATGAGGCAATTTCCTGAGGGCCCTGGACAACCAGATGTGGGTCCCTCAGGGAGGCAAGGAAGAGAAGAGTGGACTATAGCATGGGTGCTGCAGCATCGTACACTGGAGTACTCTCGCAGGTGTTCCAATTTCATGAATCCCATTACTCTCCCATCCAAGGACTAACCAGGCCTGACTCTGCTTAGCTTCCAAGATCAGATGAGACCCGGCACGTTCAGGGTGATATGGGCAGTGGACCAATTTCATGAATCCTTGTATTACATGCACTCTTCTACTGACCCACACAATGGTTTTTATCCATGTTCATAACTCTACACATAAGAGATTCGATTAGACGGGGGCAAGGCTGTGTCATTTTCTCCATGCAGTTTTGGGCATTTGAGTCAACCTTGATGGCCTCTGGCTTAGTTTTGCCATTAGCTGCATCTTCTTATATGAGTTACTGTTAGAATTCTGTTTCCTTATCTGTAAAATGGGAGTCCTAAATAAGTGGTTATCACTCCTTCTTTAAAATTCAGAACATTCGGGCCAGGCGCGGTGGCTCACGCCTGTAATCCCAGCACTTTGGTAGGCAGGAGGAACACTTGAGGTCGGAAGTTCCAAGACCAGCCTGACCAACATGGAGAAACCCCGTCGCTACTAAAAATACAAAAAAATTAAGCAGGCATGGTGGTGCATGCCTGTAATCCTAGCTACTTGGGAAGGCTGAAGCAAAAGAATCACTTGAACCCAGAAGGCAGAGGTTGCAGTGAGCCAAGATTGCACCATTGCACTTCAGCCTGGGCAACAAGAGTGAAACTCTGTCTCAAAAAAAAAAAAAAAATTAAGAACATTCAATTTAAACAAAACCTTGTATAAAAATGAAAACAAATGGAACCAATAAATCAGAGACATTCTGATTAGGTGGTTGTGGAAGTGAAGAGAGATTCCAACCCTTTTTCTGTCCCCCAGAGAGAAGAATTTGAAAACCACAGCACTAGGATATCTCCATTGCCCCTTTTAGCCCACTCAGTGGCTGGAAGAGGGGCGGGGTGAAAGGATGAGTGGATGGGTAATTGAAGATGGGTCCCGTAGAGCCATGACTTTCTATCAGCAGGACAGCAGAACCCAATCATGAAAGGGCTGAGAACTGTCTCCTAGCTTGCCAGCAGAAGGGTGCAAACCAGGGCATAACATCTGGTCCATCTTTTTGTCCTTTTCACAAACCCAATAGAGGTGGCCTTCAGTTGTGCCCTGGAAGTAGTGAAGATGGTGCTACTGGCAGCTTTGTATGATAAAGTGATGTTCTATGCAACTCAACATCACTGCTGGGAACTTCCATCCATTGCTTCAGCCCAGAAAGGTGGGACATCATGAATTTGGGGAATCTGGTTTTCTAGGTCATAGGCAGATTCCAAGATTTCCTGATTGGCAGTTGGTTGAAAGAGTTAAGCTTTGCCTAAAGAGTTGAAGGCAACAGAAAGAAATGTTTGAGTTAAGATAAAAAGGGTTGTGGAAGCCAAGGTTCTTGTTATTTAGATGAAGCCTCTAATTAACAGGCTTCAGAGAGAATAGATCTTGTCTCTTGTCAACTTTAAGTGGTGTCAGACTGTCTGGTAAAGAACTAGTAAAGGAAGGAGATTTTATAAAGAATGCAAATTTCCACCACAAGAGATGGCTTTACAGGGTCATTTCAAAATATGCCAAAGAAAGTATATTTGGGGGTAAAATACTTGATTTTTTCAGGGCCTGCTATCTGTCATGTGATGCTATACCAGAGTCATGTTGGAGCTGGGTATCTTATTGCTACATAGAGTCTATTTTGTCAGTCTTATTATCTCTATTTTAATGTTAATGCAAGTCAGTTGTGCCTAAACTCCAACAAGAAGAGGGTATAACGAGTCATGACAAACCCACACTTCCTGTCATAGCCTGAACTGGTTTCTCAGGTTTCTTTGGGATCCCTTTGGCCAAGAGGGGAGTCCATTCATTGGTTGGAAGGCTTAGAGTTTTATTTGGTTTACAGAGACCAGCCTGGACAATGTAGCAACTAACTGTCTCTACAAAATATATAGATTAAAAAATTAGCCAGGCGTTACGGTGAAACAGCAGGGATGGGACTGGGCTCCACTCCTACTATTTTTGTATTTAGTATTTTGGTATTTAGTGAGTATTTTTCCACACATACTCACTAACCACCAGACCTGGCACTACCCCATTGTCACCATACCTGCTGATCACAAGACCTTAAAAACTATGTGAGAAAACTAAGATAAGAAGCATTGCACCATAAATCTTACTCAAGGGAATTAACCCTATTGCCCTCATGTATATAAGTCCAGGAAAATGATAGATCTTAATCTCTTGCCTCATTATAATAAAATCCTCACCCTAGGAGGGGCTTTTCTGCCATTATTCGATCTTGTGATGTACATACTAACATGACTTCCCACTGCATCTGTGCACCCTGCACTCTGCCCTGCAAATGTAATGATGCTCACATACCTCATGTTTATTCCTGTCACCCTTCCTAAAACACCACGAAGACCTGTCCTCAGAGAGCCAGCCAGAGAACTCTTGCTCTTATGCTGTCTCCCTTGTGCTTGAGCATAAGTCTTAATAAAGCCTTGTCTGGGAAACTTTCTGAGCCTCATATCAATTTTTATTGCATACAAGCCTAAGAAACAGTGGTTGATTAACAGTAGTGCAGGCCTGGAACTACAGTGACTCTAGACACTGAGGTGGGAGGATCACTTGAGCCCAGGAATTTAAAGCTACCATGAATTATAATCCCACCACTGCACTCCAGCCTGGGTGACATAATGAGACCCTGTTTCTTACAAAAAAAAAAAAAAGAAGAAGAAAAAAACTGTGATAGACTCCTGTGATTGGTGATTATGCTGTATAGAGGAATATTTTATGGGAAGAAAAAAATTGTTAACCTTATTTTTGTCAAAATAAATTCTGCCTATATTAGGTATTTAAAAAATATATACTACCAGAATAGGTACCAAAATATCAGTGTTGTCTCTGGCAGTGAATGATTTTTCTTCCTTTTCTTAAAAAAATAATTTGTATTTTAAATATTTCATACAATGAAACAAGTATTACTTTTATAGTGTCAAAAATTGTTCTAAATGGAATTCTACAATAATGACCTGATATGTGGGGTGTTAAAGAATGGGGTTGGGTAGTCAGTCTTTAGGGGGCTGCAGTCTGAGTCGACCCTCTCCTGGTTTTAGCTCTTGAAGGTGTGAAGAATGATTCTCTAGAGCCTATCTCATGTTTGGTCAATACCATCCTGAAAAAAGGTTGACATAGATACTAGCACCTAGTTTGCCCCTACTTCCTTGCTGAGCCAAATGATCAGTAGATTCCTCAAAGCTCTGGTCTCAAAGCCCCAGAAAGAAAGAAATGCCTTTTCTTGTTTTTATTATTTTTTTTAGAGACAGGGTCTCACTTTGTTGCCCAGGCTGGAGTACAATGTCATGATCATGGCTCACTGCAGCTTTTAACAACTGGGCTCAAGAAATACTCCCACCTCAGCCCCCTGAGTAGCTAGGACTACAGGCACACCACCACATCCAGCTAATTTTTTAGTTTTTGTAGAGATGGGGTCTCACTATGTTGCCCATGCTGTTATCAAACTCCTACGCCTGGTGAGGAGGGGCCAAGATAGCCTATTAGAAGCAGCTGCAGTCCACGGCTCTCATGGAGAGGAATGAAAATAGCAAGTGAATTCAGCACCTTCAACTGAAATATCCAAGTTCTCACATTGGGACTGACTAGGCAAACAACTCAAACCACAGAGAACGAAGAAAAGCAGGGTGGGGCGACGGCCCACCCAGGAGCAGCACAGAGGCAAAGGAACCTCCATCCCAAGCCAAGGGAAGCAGTGAGTGATTGTGCAACCCCACCCAGGAAACCATGCTTCTCCCATGGATCTTTGCAACCTGTGGATCAGGAGATCCCCTCGTGAGACCATGTCACCAGGGCCTTGGGTCTGATACACAGAGTTGTGTGGATGCTCAGCAAAGCAGCTGCACAAGCACACACAGAGATCCAGGAGCTTTATATACTCCAGCCCCAGGAATCCTGGCAAGGTGGGAGATCTGTCCAGACATTCCCCTAGGAAGGGGGCTGAATCCAGGGAGCCAAGCAGTGTCATTCTGCAGGCCCTACTTCCAGGGCACCTCACAAGTTAAAACCCACTGGCTTGGAATTCCAGCCAGCCAGTGGCAACAGGCCAGAGACTACCTAAGATGGGACCAAGTTCCTGTGGGGAGGGGCAGCCGCCATATCTGTGGTTTGGTCAACTCAGCCATTACATCCTGCTGGCTCTGGAGAGTCTAGGCCGTCAAGATGAGGAAAAGTGCTGCCCAACCCCAATGCAGCACACCTGCTCTACCAAAAAGCAGCCAGACTGCTTCTTTAAGCAGGTCTCTGATCCCATTCCTCCTGACTGGGTTAGACCTCTCAATAGGGTTCTCCAGACACCTCATACAAGAGCATTTGGGCCAGCAACATGTCATACCCTCTGTGACAGAGCTTTCATAGAAAGGTGCAGGTTGCCATTTTTGCTATTTTGCAGCCTTCACTGGTGATAGCTCCAAGTACAAGAAAGGTCTGGAGCAAACCCCCAGAAAACCACAGCAGCCCTAAGGAAGAGTGACCTTCCTGTTAAAAGAAAAACAACAAACAGAAAACAACAACTACTACAATATCAACAAAAGGATCCTACAAAAACCCTATTCAAAGGTCAGCAACCTGAAAGATCAAAGGTAGATAAGCTCACAAAGATGAGAAAGAATCAACACAAAAACCCTGAAAACTCACTGAAAGAGCCAGAGTGCTAGTTCTCCTCCAAATAACTGCAACACCTCTCCAGCAAGAGCATAGAGTTGGTCTGAGGCTGAGATGGCTGAATTGACAGAAGTAGGCTTCAGAAGGTGAGTAATAACGAACTTCAATGAGCTAAAGAAGCATGTTGTAACCCAATGCAAAGAAGCTAAGAATCATGATAAAACAATACCGGATCTGATAACCAGAATAGCCAGTTTAGACAGGAATATAACCCACCTGATGGAGCTGACAAAACACAACTAGAGATCTTCAAGTGTAATCACAAGTATCAATAGCAGAATAGACAAAGCAGAGGAAAGAATATCAGAGCTTAAAGACTATCTATCTAAAATAAGCCAGGCAGACAGGATAGAGAAAAAAGAATAAAAAGAAATGAACAAAATCTCCAAGAACTATGGTATTATGTAAAAAGACCCAATCTGTGACTGATTAGGGTATATGAAAGAGATGTGGGGTGGGAAATGGAACCAAATTGGAAAACATACTTCAGGATGTGATCCAAGAGAACTTACTCAGCTAGCAAGACAGGTCAACATTCAAATTCAGGGAATCCAGAGAACTCCAGTAAGATACTTCATGAAAATCAACCCCAAGACACATAATCATCAGATTCTCCAAGATGAAAATGAAAGAAAAAATGTTCAGGACAGCCAGAGAGAAGGGCCAGGTCACCTACAAAGGGAAGCCCAACAGACTAACAATGGACCTTTCAGCAGAAACCCTACAAGCCAGAAGAAATTGGAAGCCAATAGTCAACATTCTTAAATAATTTCCAACCCAGAATATTATATCTGACCAAACTAAGCTTCATAAGTGAAGGAGAAATAAGATGCTTTTCAGACAAGAAAATGCTGAAGGAATTTGTCACCACCAGGCCTGTCTGGCAAGAACTCCTGAAAGAAGCACTAAATATAGAAAGGAAAAACCATTACCAGCCACTAAAGAAACACACTGAATTACACAGGCCAGTGACACTATGAAGCAACCACATAAACAAGTCTGCAAAATAACCAGCTAGCATCATGATGACACGATCAAATTCACACATGACAATAGTAACCTTAAATGTAAATGGACTAAATGCCCCCAAATAAAAGACATAGAATAGCAAGCTGGATAGAGCCAAGA
Source organism: Homo sapiens (assembly GCF_000001405.40). Taxonomy (NCBI): domain Eukaryota; kingdom Metazoa; phylum Chordata; class Mammalia; order Primates; family Hominidae; genus Homo; species Homo sapiens. Next base: position 30,312,259 of record NC_000012.12, read on the forward strand.
CTGATTGGTATGCTGCTCTCAAGAGACCCATCTCACATGCAAAGAGACACATAGGCTCAAAATAAAAAGGTGAAGGAAAATTTATTCAAACAAATGGAAAACAGAAAAAAACAGAGGTCACAATCCTATTTTCTGACAAAACAGATTTAAAACCAACAAAGATCAAAAAAGTCAAAGAAGGGCATTACATAATGGTAAATGGTTCAATTCAACAAGAAGAGCAAACTATCCTAAATATAAATGTACCCAACACAGGAACACCCAGATTCATAAAGCAAGTTCTTAGAGATCTACAAAGAGGGTTAGACTCCCACACAACAATAGTAGGAGACATTAATATCCCATTTACAAAATTAGATCATCAAGACAGAAAATTAACAATGATATTCAGGACCTGAACTCAGCTCTGGATCAAGTGGACATGATATATATCTACAGAACTCTCCACCCAAAAACAACAGAATATACATTCTTCTCAGTACCACATGGCACTTACTCTAAAATTGATCACATAATCGGAAGTAAAACACTCCTCAGGAAATTCAAAAGAGCTAAAATCATAACAAACAGTCTCTCAGACTACAGCACAATCAAGATTAAGAAATTCAATCAAAACCACATAACTACATGGAAATTGAACAACCTGCTCATGAATGACTCCTGGGTAAATCATGAAATTAAGACAGAAATCAAGAAGTTCTTTGAAACTAGTGAGAACAAAGAGATAGCATACCAGGATTTCTGGGGCACAGCTAGGGCAATGTTGAGAAATTTATAACACTAAATGCCCACATCAAAAAGCTAGAAATATCTCAAGTTAACATACTAACATTATAACTAAAAGAATTAGAGAACCAAGAGCAAACAAACCCCAAGGCTAGCAGAAGACAAGAAATAGTCAATGTCAGAGCAGAACTGAAGGAGATGAAGACACAAAAAAACCCTTCAAAAAAATCAGCAAATCCAGGAGCTGTTTTTTTGGGAAAAAAAAAATAGATACATTGCTTGCTAGACTAATAAAGAAGAAAAGAAAGAAGAATCAAAGAAACACAATCAGAAATGATAAGGGGGATATCACCACCAACCCCACAGAAATACAAACAACCATTAGAGAATACTATAAACACCTCTATGCACATAAACTAGAAAATCTAGAAAAATTGATAAATTCCTGGACACATATACCCTGCCAAGACTGAACCAGGAAGAAATTGAATCCCTGCATAGACCAATAACATGTTCTGAAATTGAGGCAGTAAAAAATAACCTACCAACTACAAAAATCCCAGGACCAGATAAATTTATAGCTGAATTCTACCACAGGTACAAAGAAGAGCTAGTACCATTTCTACTGAAACTAGTCCAAAACATTGAAAAGGAGGGATTCCTCCCTAACTCATTTTATGAGGACAGCATCATCCTGATAACAAACGCTGGCAGAGATACAACAAATAAAACTTCAGGCCAATATCCCCGATGAATATCGATGCAAAAATCCTCAATAAAATACTGGCAAACCGAGTCCAGCAGCACATCAAAAAGCTTATCCACCATGATCAACTTGGTTTTCTTCCCATGGTTGGCTCAACGTACCCAAATCAGTAAGTGTGATTCATCACATGAAACAGAACTAAAGACAAAACCACACAGCTATTTCAATAGGTGAAGGAAAGGCCTTTGATAAAGTTCAACATCGCTTCATGTTAAAAACTCTCAATAAACTAGGTATTGAAAGAACATACCTCAAAATAATAAGAGCCATATATGACACACCTACAGTTAATATTATACAGAATGGGCAAAACCTGGAAGCATTCCCCTTGAAAACTGGCACAACACAGGGATCCCTTCTCTCACCACTCCTATTCAACATAGTATTGAAGTTCTGGCCAGGGCAATCGGGCAAAAGAAAGAAAGAAAGGGTATTCATATAGGAAGGGAGGAAGTCAAATTATCTTTGTTTGCAGATGACATGACCTTATATCTAGAAAACCCAATCATCTCAGCCCAAAACCTTCTTGAACTGATAAGCAACTTTAGCAAAGTCTCAGGATACAAAATCAATGTGCAAAAACCACTAGCATTCCTATACACCAGTAATAGGCAAATAGAGAGCCAAATCATGAACTAATTCCCATTCACAACTGCTACAAAGAGAATAAAATACAGCTAACAAGGGATGTGAAGGACCACTTCAAGGAGAACTACAAACCACTGCTCAAAGAAATCAGAGAGGACACAAACAAATGAAAAACTATTTCATGCCCACGGATAGGAAGAATTAATATTGTGAAAATGCCATACTTTCAAGGAGCCCTTGAAATCACTGGGTTGGTTTTCTAGGGCTCCTGTAATAACATGCCACAAATGGCTAGCTTAATACAACAGAAATTTATTTTCTCACAGATGTGAACTCTGGAAGTACAAAGTCCAGATGTTAGCAGGATTAGTTTCTACTGGAGGCTTTGAGAGAGATTCTGTTCCATGGCTCTCTCCTGGATCCTGGTGGTTCTTGGCAACCCTTGGTGTCCCTTACCTTGTAGATACACCACTCCAATCTCTGCCTCCACTTTTACATGACACATTCTTCCGTGTGTGTGTGTGTGTGTGTGTGTGTGTGTTTGTGTTTTCTTAAGAACAGCAAATATTGGATTTGGGAGGGCCCACTCTAATCCACTATGAACTTCCCTTAGTTTGGTTACATCTACAAAGACCCTGTTTGCAAACAAGGTCACATTCGAGGTTCTGAGTGGACATGAATTTGTCAACTCGTTGGGAATGGACCAGTCCGAGGGCAAGATAAGATGTGGAACTAAGCAGGAAGGTTGAGTGCAGAGTTTTGAGGAAAGTGTAGTCAGGGCGAAGATCTAAGCAACATTGTTCTACTCCTTTGGAGGAGAAATTTTTCCTTCTTTTAGCTTCCTTCAGCCACTGCTGTGACCACCTCATCCCAATTCCTCTCTGCTCCTTCATAGTCCTTAAAGGTTAGAAGTATGGGCTCTGCACTTCTGTGTCCTGCATTTCTAGATCCTGGTTCTCTGGTTGGCCATGTGCCCTCAGAGACTTATTTCCCTCTACTTCAGTTTTCTCTGGGAAAAAGGGATGACAACAATACCAGGTTTATACAGCCATTTTGATAACTGAGCAATGTAATGTTTATAAAGTGCTTGTCTCAAAGGAGTAAAGTATGGATTCAGGTAACTTGCCTATTTTTGAGTTGTCTTTTTATTGATTTGACTTACTTTATGCTAATGTCAAGTGATACTTTGGCCTTCTCTTTAATTTCTATATTTTATTTACCCCACTGCCTCTTACAGATGGTACAATGGGTAGAAAGTCCAGATTGTGTCCAGAAACGCAGCCAATCCTGTATATTGAGGAGGGTGAATTGAGTTCCTTGATTGGGTCAGTAGTTGTAGTTTCCCACATGCCAGGACATGGTCTCTAGCAATGCCCCACAATGGTAGCTGCAGCATTCACTCAAACAAGATGGTGATGTCATGACATGAAATGGTCTTTCCTGGCTGTGGTCTAGTGTTTGCAACTGGTATCATCTGGTTCTGGCATTTGTTGCTCACACTAACGTATCAATGATAGGCCTATATATCATCCTTTGGTCAAGTGAAGGCCCAGTTGATTCCTGGTCTCATTGGATGGTACATTACAGGGCATGGCACTACATCCAGGACATGCTCAGAGTGGCTTACTACCCTTCAATCTTAGTAAAGTCAAACCCTCTGAGCCTCAGTTTCTTCATCTATAAATGGGGATGATATCTACCTCTTAAGACTGTGTATTAGGTTGTTCAGGCTGCCAGAACAAAATATCACAGACTAGTAGCTTAAACAACAGTTCTGAAGCCTGGAGGTCCAGGATCAAGGTCCTGTCAGGGTTGGATTCTGGTGAAGGCTCTCTTCCTGGCTTGCATATGGTTGCCTTCTTGCTATGTCTTCTCATGGCCTCTTCTCTGTGCACAGGCAGAAAAAGAGATATCTGGTGCCTCTTCCCCTGCTTGTAAGGACATCATATTGAGACCCAATAGATTAAGAGGCCCTATCAGGTTAAGGGCCAATACTTATGACCTCATTTAACCTTTATTACCTCCTTATAGGCCCTATCTCAAATAGTCATATTAGAGATTAGGGCTTCAACATGTGAATTTGAAATATATAACAGGCTGGGTGCAGTGGCTCATACCTGTAATTCCAGCACTTTGGAAGGCCAAGGTGGGTGGATCACATGAGGTCAGGAGTTCAAGACCAGCCTGACCAATATGGTGAAACTCCATAAAAATACAAAAATTAGCCGGGCATGGTGGCGCATGCCTGTAATCCCAGCTACTCAGGAGGCGGAGGTAAGACAATCACTTGAACCCAGGAGGAGGAGGTTGCAGTGAGCCGAGATCGCGCTATTGCACTCTAGCCTGGCCAATAAGAGCAAAACTCTGTCTCAAAAAACAAACAAACAAACAAAAAACAAAATACATAACACAGTATTTTGAGGACTGCGGAACATAGATCATGCTCTGAAGATGGTAGCACTTTTGATGTGGGTCATAGTGGAGGTCAAGAAGGTTGTAGCAAATCAGGCTGATGAAGGAAAATCTGAACAGACAAGAGGACAAAGGTAAAACCCCTATCTTTGGAGAAGGACTGAACGTCAACACCAGACCCCCTACTTGGCAGCATCCATGTTTTGCTGCACTTCTATTTATACTTGAATTCACTGTTTAATAATTATCTCTGGTTTTCTTTCCTTGATGCCACCTTCTCCCTCCCTTCCTACTTTCAGTCAGCCACCAGATGTGCCTTACCTGCCTTCCCCACTATCTGATTAGTTCAGACCTCCGTCTTTGATGGCTTGGATTTGAACAGTAGCTTCCTGCTTTATCCAGTCCAATCCACTCTCACACTACAGACAGGCTGATTGTGTAAAATGTAGACTAGATCCTGTCACTTTCCTACTTGAAGGGTTTCAGTGACTACCTATGATTAAGACAAACCCAAATTTGATAACAGGTTCACAGGGCCAACATTGTCTGCTCTAGCTCCTGCATTTCGCTCTGCCTGAGTGCTTGCCAACCCCACCTTTTTATCCTCTGACCCAGATGTCTCTGGGTCTCTGCCCATGCTGCTCTGCCTGCTCCTGTCTGCTCCCACACTCTTATACGTATACAACAAACACTTATTGAGATATACTCTATGCTAGTCACTGAAGATTTAGAGCTAAATGAGTACATACCATGTTTTCACATTTTTTTACCATACTTTACATAATCATTTCCTTGAAATTGCTTTTTGAGTTAAACACAAATTGAGCCAGGTGTTTGTCTTCATAGAAATTTTAGCTCTAAAGAATTTATGGTAGATTATAATATGATCTACAGTATCAAACTATAAAATGTAAAGTATCAGGAAATAAAAAGAAATATATCATGAACCTAGTCCAAGACTCACTTTTCAGAGCTCAGGTTCCAAGCCACACAATCTGGAAACCTTTTTTTGGAGGTTGGGTGGGATCTAGCCCGTGTGCTCACAGGTGCCTGTTCCCCCTCTGCTGACAGTTATTCCACTAAGCTGAAGTTGCCTGTAGTCTCCCACATTAGACACTAAGCTCTGGGAGGCAGGGCGGCTGTGTCTGCAGTCTTGTTGTATCCCCAGCACCCAGCACAGCACCTGACACATGGTAGATGTTCAATACATGTTGGCTGAATTAATTATTGTTTTAAAATCATTTTTAATATTTGTGCATGTATGTTCACAACAGGCTTATTTACAATAGCTAAAAGATGGAAACAACCCAAGAGCTCACTGATGGATGAATGGATAAACATAGTGTGCTACGGATATAAGTGAAAATTATTTAGCCTTAAAAAGGAAAGAAACTCTAGCACACACTGCAACATAGAGGAACCTTGAGGATATTATGCTAAGTGAATTAAGCCAGGCACTAAAGGAGAAACACTGTATAATTCCTTTTATATGAGCTTCCTAGACTCATCAAATTCATGGAGATAGAGAGTTAAACAATGTTTGCCAAAGGCTAAGGGGAAGAGAGAATGGGGAGCTCATGTTTAATAGGTAGAGAGTTTCAGTTTGGGAAGGTGAGAATGTTCTAGAGGCATATGGTGGTGAATGCCATAGATCTGTAAACTTAAAAATGGGTAAGATGGTAAATTGTATGTTATGTGTATTTTACCACAATAAAAATGACCACACTGAAAATCTTGCTTATGATATTCCAAGTGAAAAAAATAAAACCTCCAGGTAGTACTGTAGAGAGAGAGAAATGGATCAGTGGGGTGTCTCCTGGTGACTGTGATCAAGATTCAGGAACCCGTGGTGGGCAGATCAGGTAAAGGCTCCCGCCTTAGGCTCATTGCCTCTGGACAGCCTCAGGTAACCCTCACACCTGCTCCAGACACTGCTGCTCATTTTTTAGTTTATTTCAATTGAGCTATTTAAAATGAACACTCAGGTTTACAGAAAACTCTACCCTTAGAGTATACTCACTAGGCTGTCTGCTAAGCAGGAGTGCATTGAAATAGGTTTCTCTGTAACTTCAGGAATAAAACATCATTAAAGCACCAGCAGCAGACTGTTTCCAAAAATGACAATATCTCTGTCTCCCACCTTGCAGGATTTTTGCAAGGAGAGCTTGTCTTTCCTCCCATCAAGTGGTGGCATCTCTTTCTCTTCCCCTGAGTCTGAGATTACAGAAATGATGTTGTGTAGGCTTCCAAGGCAATGTCATGACGATGTTTATGCTCTCTAGGGGAGCCAGATGCATGTGATGAAGAAGCTTAAGGTAAAAGACTGAATGAAGAGGCAGCACATGCGGTGAGGGAGGCCATGTGGGAGGCTGAACACTTGCTGTGTGAATGGCCTTCCAGTTCAGCCCAGCTGCCGTCCACCATGATTTCATGAGACACCCAGCCTGATGCCACGTGGGACAGAGCAGGCCAACCAGGTCCTGCCCAGACCCAGAGAATCATTGGGTCATAATAATCATTGTTGTTCTAAGTCATAAGGTTTTGAAATGGCTTGATTTGCAGCAATATATAACCAAAACCATATCTTCTGCCAAATTAAGCATGAAGAGTGTAGAATTGTATTATAGAGAGCTCTAGTGCAGTGCCCCCTCCAGTTTATATTCACTGTAATACTATTAAATAAAAAGGGAAGAAATCCACCTACAGCTCCCTCATCCCAATGATTCACTTATTTTCCTTTTTTCGTTTCTAGCCTGTGGTGGTGGGCATACATAGATAAGCAACGCTGTGGTTATCAAGTACATAGCATTTTGTAGCTTTTCCTCTCAGCTTTATAGCATTCATTTGCACGCTCAACAAACACTTATTGAGATCTACTCTATGCTAGTCACTGAGGATTTAGAGCTAAATGAGTACATACCATGTTTTCACATTTTTTTTTACCATACTTTACATAATCATTTCCTTGAAATTGCTTTTTGAGTTAAACACAAATTGAGCCAGGTGTTTGTCTTTGTAGAAATTTTAACTCTAAAGAATTTATGGTAGATTATAATATGATCTATAGTATCAAACCGTAAAATGTAAAGTATCAGGAAATAAAAAGAAATATATTATTAACCTAGTCCAATAGAATTACTCTAAATATGAAGCACTGAGATTTCAGCCAAGACAAACATACAGTGAATTATTCTCATTGCTTGATTAAAGCAAGCACATCATTCTCCTAATTGAAATGAAGATTCTGACCTCACCAAATGGGAGGAGTGGAAGGTGACTCCAAGGTGGGGAGGTGGAGGCAGCGCGTGTGGGCAGGTGTCTGCTCTTCAAAGGGCTTGACTGTGAAGAGGACAGAGTGTGTTGTGGATAGGGACGGTCAGAAAGGAGGCACTGTTCGGATGCTGATGGCAAGGTCCCGTTAGAGAGGCAGTGACAGGATTCAGGGAGCAGAGGGGCTAAGCAGTGGGGCAGGGTCTCTGAGACGGCATGGGGATGGGATCGGGAACTCACAAGGGAAGACTGGCCTCCCCCCATGCGAAGGGTCGCTGCCCTTCTGCCTTGTGACAAGAGGGAAGAAAGATAAACACAGATGAAAATAGGTTAGTGGATTTGGAAGGAAAACGAAGGTGTTTCCTGGCTGACAATGTCTATTTTTTTCCATTTAAAGTAGGAGATGAAGGGGAGTGCGGGACAGAGCAGTTGGAGGTTTGAAAGGGATAGAAAATGTTCCCAAGCTCCTTTTGTTGGATCTGCTGATGATCTATGCCGAGTTCAGACGGTTGGAAATCTGAATTCTGGAGCGGACTGAAAGAAAAGATAGATTGGGCCATGAGTATCCCCAGGGCCTTGGCCCAATCTTCAGAGCAGGCTCCTGAACCCCAGGAAAAGCTGCCATCTAAACTGCTGTAGACTTGGGCTGCAGGTTCTCCAGCACCTGCTTTTCTGAGACTGGTGATTCATGAAGACCCTGGAGACAGGCAGAGGGCACAGCCAATGGCACCGCTCCAGAAGAGTCTGAGGGATGGAGAGGCAGTGGGCGGGACGAAGATTTCCGTTGTGCGTTTCCATTGGGCGCGAGGCCTCATGGGATGGGAGGGAACCTGCGAAGCTCAGAACCGCGGCAGTGGGCCGGAGACTCAGCGGGCCAGGCAAGATCCAGTCCCAGAGAAAAGGGACAGTAGGGCCGTGTGGTGTCCAAAGGTGGACAGCCTTCATCAGAGGCTGAAACCTAGAGGGAGGAAGAACCACATCGTGGGAACACAAGGAGGGATATGGAGCTGAGAGCAGTGATGGGTCTAAACTTGAGCAGACTTCTTGGCAGCCATTCTCCCTATCTGACTCCAAATTTTCCGGCTTTCCTTCCCTCCTAGGTGCTGTCACAGTTCTTCTGGTCTGAGTGTGTGACTCTCCTGAGAGTCGGAGGAGATGGCTGCAGGAGCAGTGGCTGGACCCATCCCTGTGCTGTGCTTGGGCGTTGACAAATCTGCTGCTACTTTAGTCGGTAGCAGTGGTTTGGCAGTGATTTGCCTTAATTGCCATATGCGGGGCAGTGGTGCATGTGGTCAGCATCCCCCAACTCACATCCATGAAGATTTCTGGTGCCATGGCAACATCCCCTACTGCTTTGAACGTGAAGACCTTCAGCCATTTTCGATTCACCCCAAATCTGAAGATCTTTAGCCATGTCTGGTCCAACTCCCTTGTGTTTGCAAGTCCAAACAACAGGTCTCAGCAGGGAGCCCCAAAGAGTGGTAGACCTGGTAGACCTGGGCTGGCTGCAGCATACCTCAAGATAGATGGGTCAGTTCTGGGAGTAAGGCAGGATTCTAAGTACAGTGAAATTTAGTGGTTTGTTTCCACTGAACCTCATCCTCTCCTAGTGGGACTGGCCACACCATCCTCTTCCCATTGGGACTCATCCAGATTTATTTAGTCCTCGCTGGAGACTCAAGTGAGGTGTTAAGACTGAGCCCACACCTAGGAGCTTGGGGAATCCCACAGGGCAGAACCAAGGTAAACCTACCCGGCAAGTCTAGCAAAGAATTTTCCTTTCGAGAAGAATTATCTTCTCTATATTTAGGATTAGTGCTGGAGAAGCCAGAGTACAATTAAATAAATCTCAAGCTCTTAGTTCTAAGATTCTGAAAACTCTTCCAGATTTGAAGATACTGAAGGAAAGCTGAATGTCACAGTCTTCTGGTGATGACCAAATTACATAATCTGTGTGAAAGAGCTCTGCAATGTTATCAACTGTATGCCATCCACCCATAGACACTCTTAGCATCACTATATATAGAGAAAACTAGAACAGCAAATGTTTATTTACTTATTTTGAGACAGAGTCTCACTCTGTCACCCAGGCTGCAGTGCAGTGGCGCGATCTCGGCTCACTGCAACCTCTGCCTCTCGGGTTCAAGCAATTCTCCTGCCTCAGCCTCCTGAGTAGCTGGCACTACACGCGCACGCCACCATGCCCAGCAATTTTTTGTATTTTTTAGGAGAGACGGGGTTTCACCATATTGGCCAGACTGGTCTCAAACTCCTGACCTTGTGATCCGCCCACCTCAGCCTCCCAAAGTGCTGGGATTACAGGTGTGAGCCACTACGCCCAGCTGCAAATGTTTATTTTTTAAACGAGAAAACCAACTAAGGTAATCAGGAGTAGGCCCTGTCCCAGAGACAATATTTAGAGGAATACAAACATCATAATGCGAGGGAGAAAAGACTTTAAGAAGGGTGTTGTTCCTCCCAAACTTCAATCAGTTCAAAACTTGAAACTTGAAAGGCCTGTTAACAGGTAATGGTAGATACTGTACATGAAGAAACCTGAGCAGAAGAGGATTGTCACACAGGACAAGGTGAAGAGGGTGTAGACGGACATCTGCTTCCCCATGATTGCCTGTATAAGGCAGAGATAGGGGCTAGGGAAGCCATGGGTGCTGCAGTGGATGCTGGGTTGGCTCACCATAAGCAGGCGCTGAAACAGAAGGAACAGAAACACCCACCAGCTGCCATCCTGCAGGAGGAAGTAAAGGAGGTACAAAAGCAAGAGCATCTGAAAGTTCAGGATGGATTTCTTCGGAAAAGTGATGTGTTCCTGCATCACCACCACGGAGCCACCCTCCTCTTCACCTACTCCCAACTCCACTGACTTCCCCTTGACCTGTTTTTGGTGAAGCTGAGCCATGAAGAATTCCATAAGGAAGAGGAGGCCTATGAAGATAAAGATAAAGAAGTACAAAGTTCCTGTTATAGAATCGTAAAACCTTTTTTTTTTTCAAAACACACATTTGGAGAGGGGCAAAGATGGGGATTAGAATGATGACATTGCAAAGAAAGTATCATCAGTCACCTCATCCTGTACTATGTATATTCACTCCAAAAGTAATTTAAGTGCCTATCCTGTGCCTGAGGGTTGGGATCCTTCCAGGGATTCTGCGTGAGATGTACAGCAGGGGGCACCCAGGAACCCTGCCTTGCTGGATACTCTCTGTGCTGCCGAAGTGAACATGATATTCCCAGATCACCTAGTTGAATGTATTTGGGATTTTCCTCTAGTGTAGTCTTGGTCCTGAGGCTGACTGTGCCATAAAGACCACAGGATCACACCCAGCGATTTTATGCTTCCTGTGTCCATGCCTTTGTCCAATCCTTTCCTTTTGAGTGCAGGCAGAGACTGTGACTTGCTTCTAACCAATAGGATATGGCAAAGGATGTCATTTCTGTGTTCTCAGTATGTTATGTAGAAGTCCACTTAAGCAGACTAGAGCAAAAGACTCTCCCTCGCTGGCTTTGAAGAAGTAAGTTGCCATGTCATGAGAAGGCCAATGGCAAGGAATTTCATGCAGCTTCTTAGAGCTGAGAGTTATCACCAGCTAACAGCCAGGAGAAAAATGGGGACCATGGTCATACAACTGCAAAGGAATTGACTTCAGCCAATAACTTTAATGAACTTTGAAGTGAATTCTTCCCCAGTCAAGCCTGCAGATGAGTATACAGCCTAGTGTATACCTTCATTATTGCTTGGTGAAACCATGGACAAAGGACCCATGCTTTGTCTTCCATATCAACTGTGAGATGATATATGAGTTGTTACAAGATGCTAAGTTTTTGGAAATTTGTTACACAGCATTGGAAAATTAATGCACTGACTCTGGAGCCACCACAATGGTACAAGAGTCAAGGGCTGAGTAACCTCAGCATTAGGCATAAGTGGAGACAATTCTTGGCTTCTTGCAAGATCTGGCCCAGCCATATTTTAGGAGGCCTGAGCATGTTTTAGCAGAGAGTGCTTGAGACAGAGACCACTGCTGCTGTGGCTTCTGCCCCTTCTCCCTAGATAAGAAAGCTCCTGCATTCTTAGCCCTGGAAAAAATGCTCATGGTTCTGAATAGATCCATCCTGTTTTGGATTTGGGCTCAGCAAGGTGGGACATGAAGTCCCAGAACCATCAATTGTATATGCAATTACAAGTAAGTGACCTGCTGGACTCCACAACCTCAGCAGGCACAAGGCTCAACAGTTGGAGTTGCTTGCTGCCACTTCAACGCTCATCCTAGGCTAGGCATCTTTGTGCACTGAGTAAGCTGCACAACTATTTGAAGGGCCCTGGGAGGCCTCTTTTTGAAACTCAGTTGGGTTTGTGGGAAGGCCAATACCCTGTGGGTGAAGTTCTACCCAATGAATGTTTGTAGTTCTGTAGAAGACAGGTTACCTCTCAGAGCTGCGGGACACTTTAGGGGTGAATCAGAGCCAAATATTGCTGTATACCTAATGCCTATAATTAATTTTTGGTACATAGTAGGGGCTCAATAAATATTTTTGGGGCACACAGACTGTAACCATAGGCTCTCAGAGAATCTTGATGTTGTTCCTAGGGTTTGTAGGTCATGGTAATGCTATTCTCAGGCAAGTTCACTAAGAGTCAAAACTCAAATGTCTGCTTACATCACAAGTAAACCTTTCATGGTCACTCTCCCTGGGTTTATCCTGGTTGCAGGCAATGGTTCCCAGTCATTGAGCCTGTATCATCTTGTTTCAATGGATAGATGGAGGCTACCTCAGATGCTTCAGAGGAACCACAAAGGAAGGACAGTTTGGATAGCAAAAGCAGTCAGTCAGCAGCTATATTTGAGTATTTACTTGTCTAGTTGAAGATTGTTCCAGGCAGAGGGAACAACAAGGGCCCTGACCTTGAGATGGTGTATTGATCAGTGTTCAATGGCCCTACAGAACAGAAATCATCTGGTGAGAAAAGAAACCTTACCAGTAATTCAAGTAGGGAGAATGTAACACAAAGACTTAACTAGTAAAAAGTAATGACTGAAAGTGGCAAAGAAAGGACTTTAGGGCATCCAGAAGTAGCAACTGCAGGAAGCAGCTTCCACGTCTTGGGCTGAGGAAGGAGCTAAGAATGGCATGGATTCAGACGATTAGGAAACTTGCCAGAATGTGTGGGTTTGAGCAACTTGCCAGAGGGTATAGGTGGGAGGTGGTCCACAAGAACTACTTAGATGAGTGCTATCAAGTCTCCTGCACACCAGAGAACCAACTGCTACACCAAAAAAAAAAAAAAAAAAAAATAGCACACTGGAAGGAATTCCCTTGTTTCTACTATTACCTCTTAGTGTCCTTCCAGTATTATCTATTGACAAATTCTAACATCAATCCATCTAACAAAAGAGAAATTTTTACAGGGTCCAGCTCCAGTATCCAAAACAGGGCAAGAAAGGGTAGATTTGGAGCTGAGCAATATGTTGATAACTGGCACAGCCTACATTTTTGGTCACTCAACTTCCATATATGTCCTTCTACACACATTTGAACAGTCAACAATGAAACAAGCTCCAGCTGTCCTTTGTACAAGTGAAGAAGTTCTCACACTTTCCCCAAAATGGAAACAATCACTCCCAAAAGACATTATTCATTGCTGATTATATTCAGTACCTCCAAGTTTAGTCACAGTCATTCTGCAAATTTGTTACCTGATAACTGAATTATAAAGTTAACCTTCAACAACTTGTGTATAAAATCAGGGAAAGAGGAACAGAGAAGAAAATAGTTACTATATACAAATAAGTATATATACAAAAAGTATACAAATCTACTGCAATCTTTATAATTAGTTATAAGGTCACAGTAGCTATCTTTGTCTTCCTTCTCTACTTCCCATTCATTTTTTTGTCCTCATCCAGAAGCTTAACTAGATGGGGTTCTTATCCTAGTAGGCTGACCCAAACCATCATTTCTGAAGAGTATGACTCCCCAAGAGTCTTGACTTTTTCTTTTTTTTGCTGTAGTTTTCAACTAAACTTTACTATTGGGCATGAAAAGTATGCAGGCTTCTAGATATAGCTCTCCTTGTCCCCCACTGTGTAGCAGCAACCAAATTTCTCATTGGCAATTGTGATCAATCACTTCAGCCAGTAGAGTAACCCTTTCTTCTTATTGGTTCAGTGGTGTAAGCTACCCCAAATGGTCAAGCGGCAGTCTATCTTCCAAATCAATGGAACCATTGTTATATCCTTTAATTCCCTCTTGGGAACCAAGACCTCCAAACCAGAAGAACTCTAGGTTGCTGAATGGGAAGCAAAAAATTCTGCTAGTGTTTTACTACGTATAATAGTGTGTTTCTCTCACTTTCACCTTTGATTGCCAGACACGTATGTTTTGGTTGTATGGGAGATGGCACCATATAGGGATCTCTGGTTCAAAGCATATACTGCAGCTTGTAAGACAGACAACATTCTTTCAGGGTGTTATCTCACAATTGACAGCATAGCTGACTTTTCAGTGAGCCAGTCTAGCTTTCAATTAAGCCAGCTGTTCCTGGGTGATGAGGTATTGTGGTAAGATTCCTTGGGCATGGGCCTATTGCTATACTTCCTTTACTGTAAAATTTGCTCCTTGATCAGGCACAGTTAATGAGACATTTCATGAGTCTGCAGAGAGTGGTGCTGACAGAAACATTTAAGGCAGGAAAGCTAAATCCTTATCCAGTAGATGTGTCTATTCTAGTGAGGAAAAATCTCTTATCTCTCAATGGTGGAAGAAGTCCAGAGTAATCAACCTGCCATCAGGTGGCTGGCTGGTCCCCTGGGGAATGGTTCCCTATGAGCCTCAGTGTTGGTGTCTTCTGTGAGTAGATTAGGAACCCATCAGGAGCAGTGTCCAGTTCATTGGGGATATCCATATTGTTGAGCTCATGAATAGCCTCCATCTCTCCCACCATGGCCACTGTATTCATGGGTCCCATTGAGCAATCAATGGGGTGGCTGAGGAACATAGCTGACTGACCAACACGGTACACCATTTTGTCCACTTGGTTATTGGGAGCTTCTTTGGTAGTGGATGTCTGATTTGGTGAGCATTTATGTAAGACAAAAATATCTTCACCCTCTGTGCTGGCTCTGAGAGTTCCTTCCACATACCTTTTCTTCAGAGTTCTTTGTCACCAATCATTAGGTCTGGTTCCTTTTAAGTCCCTCACCATCCAGACAAACTGTTAACAACTGCTCATGAGTCATGTAGATATTTAATTCTAGCTATCTCTTAGTATGGCAAACTGGGCAACCAAACATACTGGTCAAAATTTTGCCCACTTGAACAATTTTCCTTCACTATTCCCCCTCCCACCCTGCCAAAGATCATCCCTTAATGGAGTCTTATGCTGCAGCTTTCTACTTCTGTGTGGTCAATATATGATGCAGACCCATCTGTAAACCAGTCTCTAGTTCTTTATTCTTAAGGCAGTTGGGCTAGTGGAACTCTCCATGAGGCCACAGGCCTGAATTGAGGGAGAGGAGTTAATGTAGGAGGTGTTATATCAAAGGAATATAACTTACTTGTATCTGAAATCTCCTTGAGCTCAGATGCTTTTATAGCATTTCCACTTGATGATCGATTTCTGCAGTGTATACCCAACCTTATGACTAACATAACACAAAGTTCATGATGAGAAGCTCAGCCTGCATGGTCACCTAAAATCCTATTGATGGCAGCAGCTGCTGCCATCTTCCCTGCTGTAGGCTGCAGCCAGGAGGCACGGCTGGGGCTGCACACTCCATGGAGCTGGTGGGAGCCCCGTCCCTTCTGAGCTGGGGCAGAAGCTCCTCAGGTGCTGCTGTAGCTGCCCAAGCTGTGGCTGCCAACCCAGGCCCCCAAGTCTATGGAGCAGGTAGGAGCCCTGCCCCCATGGGCAGGGCTATAGCTGCCCAAATTGCAGCTGTGGATCCAATTGTTGGTGTGCTCTTGTTGGGTGTGCCCAGGAGCAGGCAGGATCTGCCCTCCCAAATGCAGCTGCAGCCTCCCAACCCATGGCTGCAGACCTGGACCTCCCACTCCCTGGAGCAGGTAGGAACTGGGGACAAGCAGGAACCCCACCCCTTCTAAGTTGGCTGGGTAGGAGCTCCCTGGGTGCAGCTGCAGCTGCTCTCCCAGGTGCAGGACCTGGGCATCTCTGCAGCTTGCACCCTCAGGGGCCGGAGAAAGTCCCCCATCCCTGCAGGCTCAGGGCTGCCTGGCCTCTCTCCTCTGCTAGTCCTTGCTCTGATATCAAGTGGGGTTGAGGCCAAGCCTGGGGGCCATGAATGGCAGCGGGAGGCAGACAGATTCCTGGAGAGAAGGGGGTGGGTCCCTGGTAAGGCCCCTCCCTCATGCCAGGGAGGGCCTGAAGGCTGGGGGCTGGGCTGCCAGTCCCAAGGACTGGAGTTCGGACTTGTGGTGCCCACTCCAGGCTGCCCATGGCCATCCATGGACCGTGCACTTCCTCCCCTCTGAGGTCCATAAAAGCCCCAGGCTCATCCAGAGTGAGGCAGAGGGCAGAAGACTGAGAGATGATGGGATGACCAGCTGTATAGAGGAGCTGCTGTCTCTGCTGAGAGCTTCAGATACCTGCAGAGACCTCTGAATGACCTACCTGCAGAGAGCAGCCACCCTCCCCAAGGCGTCCTCTCTGCTGAGAGCTGAACACTTGATGGGACAACCTGCCTACAGCAAAAAGATACCCACTACAGGTATCCTCCGAGCTGTTCTAACACTAAATAAAGCTCCTCTTCATCTTCTTCACCCTTCACTTGTCTGCTACTTCATTCTTCCTGGATGCAGGACAAGAACTCATGCAAAGGCACCACTGGCCACAGAGGTTTCTGGGAAGAAAATCGACACCCCAAAGATCCCATAACACTATGATTAGATGTTTAATCTTTTCCGAGAGCCAGTAGCAAGCCAGAAAGTATTTCTCAAAAAAGAGAATGATTATCTGCAGAAGAGGGCATAGATGTATTTTAAAAATCTGAGATGTCTGCATTGTGATTATTCTATGGGTGCTTGCCAGAGGCTGTAAACACATTATTTTCCACAGACACTTAGAAAATCATTGGATCCACTGGATAATAAGGTAAGTGGAAGAGCAGCTTGCATTGCAGTCTGAACTTGCTTCAGAACTTTCCCTTGCTTTGATCCTTCCTCAAAACTGTCAGCCTAATGGGTGACTTAGTTTGAAATCAAGACACATAGTGCTTCCAAAATACAAAGAAGACCACCAAGAATTTTGCTTCTTTCTCTTGTGGTAAGTGGTGCAAGGCTCAGCATCTTGCCTTTCACCTTGGAGGTGATATCTCAACATGCTCCAGAGCATTGGATTACCAGTAACTTCACTAAGCTGGTATTTATGTGGTATTTATGTGGTATTTATCTTTTGCCTTGTGAGTCATGTATATCGTACAAAGTTATTTAAATTATTTGCTACTTCCTGCTTAGCAGATTCAATCAGCGTAATGTTATAAATATAGTAAACCATTGTTATGTTTAGTGGATTGCCAAATGATTGGGATTTCTCTGGGCTGTATTATGATAGAGAGCAAGAAAGTTGATGTAGCCCTGAGACAAGACTGTGAAAGTATACTGTCTTTTTAAAAAAGCAATCTACTTATAGCTATCTTTTGCAAATTGGTGTGGAGGGAAAAAAAAAAAACAGCACTAACTAGGCCCACAGTTGCATACCAAGTGCCAGAGGCTGTGTTGATTTGCTCCAGTAAATATACCAACCACATCTGGGACAGTGGCTGCAATCAAAGTTTCCATCTAATTAAGTTACAATAATCCAGAGTCATTCCCAAAGATCCATCCAATTTTTGCATGGCCCCAACAGGCACGGAGATGAGAAACATATCGCTATTCTTGTTTCAAGTTTTTGATGGTGACACTGATTTCTGCATTTCCACCTGGGATGTGATGTTCCTTCTCGCTTAGTATCTTGATAGAGAAGGGAAGTTCTAGGAGCTTCCACTTAGCTCTTCCTATTCAAATCTCCCTCATCATATGGGTCAGAGATCTAATGTGGGGATTCTTCCAGTTTCTGAGTACATTGATTCTGATTATACATTTAGGATCTGGGAAAAGAGCCACAGGGTGAGTCTTTGGACCAACCAGATCCACTGCGAGTGGAACTTTGGCCAAGGCCATCTATCACAGGAGCACCATAAGCTCCCACTTTGACTGATGAGATGCAGTGATACCTTGGGTCCTAAGGAATTAGCATCAATTCAGAACCATTCAGAACCAGTGTCTCATAATCCTTTAGAAGTCTGGGTGATTCTTTTTCTCCAGGGCTTGGTCACTCTAGTCAATGACTACAGATGTCTTCTCTGTAGACATTGTACATGTCTACAGAGGACTTGTCTGTGGAAAATCTTAGAGGTATATTTACTGTATATATTGTGACAATGCTACAGAGTCCAGTTCTATCAACCAAGGGACTCTGGGGCTATAAATTGGCTTAGGTCTGGCAACTGGGTTAGAGGCCATGGTTCTCCATTGTGGTGACTCAAACCAGATGTTTTTCAGTTACCTAGATCAGGAGTAAGCAAATCTTTTCTGTAAAGGCCAGATAGCAAATACTTTAAGGTTTGCAACCCAACTGGTCTCTGTTAACAACTACTCAACTTCCCTGTTGTAGCAGAAGAGCAGCCATAGACAGATGGATGAGTGTGTTTTGTGTTTCAATAAAACTTTATTTACATAATAAACAGAGGAAGAGATTCCCCTAATCACCTGAGCCTGTTTATCTTTTCTCTGTCCTTTCTTTAGAGAAACTTAATTGGGAGGTAATGGAGCCAAGTGAATGACACTTTTGTAGCTATTCATCTGCTTTCCAAACTGTTTAAAATTTAAAAACTCTATTAGATCTTCTTTTTAAAGAATAATGCTTTTAATAATTTAATTGTTATTATTTGCTGTACACCTACCTGCAAGATAGGTTTCTTAAGGTTGCTATGGTATTCTAATCATATGATGTACATAAAGCATGAAACACTTGTAAAGTATAAAATGCCTCACCATCATCACGTATAGGAAGAAAATGATATGAAAAAGTAGATAATGCTCTTTAACAGCCATGAAAAGTTTAAGCTGCTAGAAGAAAGGTCAACAGTAGGATATGATCAGCCCAAGGGAGGTTATTTTGATAAGTTTTCTACAAATGGGAAAGGCCCTTCACTGACATCGAGTTCAACAATACTTTTTTCCTATCTTCAGTGAAACAGAGTTTATAGTCATTTTCCACTCTTCTCATTTTTTTCCCATCCTTTCTAGGGAAAAATGTTCTTTAATCAGCAGCTGCCACAATCTAAAAGGCTTTCAGACTGAGCTACTCTAGGCACAGCCTGAAGCACTTTGCCGGGGTCTGCAGGAAATATCTAGGCCTATTAGGACACAGTAGATCCCTTGTAAGTCACATTGGCTGCTCTTGCTCCAAGCTACATGCCAATTAGTCTGCAGGCTGCTATTTATTTGCAATCATTGGAATCATGTCCACTTTGGGGTATCTCTCAAGAACCCCATGACTGGGAAACCAAACGATGCAAATGCCCAATGTTTGTTATCAACCTGGATCTCAGATGTGCTTGGCATAATCTACCTGAACCCTTAGAAGATTATTTTGGTGTTAGGAAATGTGAATAAAAAAAAGTGAATATTTTACAAGGTAAGGAAGCAACTAGTCATATGCTGTGATTTAGAAGGAGAAATTATAAAGGATTATTAAAAGAAAACCAGTTTTCTATGAGTTGCAAAGGCTATCACCATGTGTTTCTATTCTCTCAAAGTTGCTGAAACTGCTCTACATTATCTTTCATGTTGTAATACCAAAAATTGAAATGTACTGCTCTAGGATGTTTGTGTCATTGGTTTAACTCAAGCTGCAGACTACAAATGGCACTATATTTCTAACATTGCTATAACAAAACGAGGAGGACTGAATAGTTGGAGCAGATGTGAGAAGTGTTCAGAGATTTGGGGCTCAGAGGCAGAACTTTAAAGAACAGTTGAAATTCTGAATACACTCAGAAAAATGATCTCAAAGTCACTTTAAAAATGCAGCTTCACATCAGCCAGCTCATGAGAGGCTCTTTGTGAGAGGATACCACTTTCTGATGTAACACGGACTTTCCTCCAAACAAATTCAACCTGGAAGAAAATCCCCCCAATTAACCAGCTCATTCCTTTCAGATCATTCATCTTACATCAGGTGGATCCACCACCAATACTATTGCGGTGCATGTGCAAACCACATATGTAAAAACACTGGCAAAAATATTCAGGTGTCCAAAGAGGTTAACACCTCAAGACAAAAGTTCAACTCCTATCACATGTCCAACTTTAATAAGAAATATTTTCTTTCCAACTCTGTTTCCTCCTGTTTACAATGCACTTTCTCCAAGCCCCCAACCTCAATTGAGACCACAACAAAAGCTCATGCTAGCAGATCCTGAGCAGGATGTTTTTCTGACTGACACACTCAGAGAGAAGAAAGACCCCTCAAAATGTTGCTCACCAGGAGGAGTGGGGCTGTTCGGGTGTCATTCTGGCTCTTTCTACTACCTGCCTCCATTAGCTATTTCTTCTTCTTTTAAAGAAAGGCACACCTCTCACACATTCTGAACGTAACAATACCCCCCTACCTGGAGGGAAATTACTTCCCAGGGTGCCAGACAAATGTCCAATTTGAAATATCGGTGCTTTCTGGTCAAAGTGGAATAACAGGGACCAGATGTAACCTCTGCCTGAAACACCACCACCGCCACACCTTAAAAAGTAAAATACATTAATCAACAGGTGATCTCTGAGGGATGGGAAACAAACAATGTGAGCCCTATAACTGCTCCACCTAACAGCCTTGAGAGCATTCCTAGGCTGCGGTGCAGGGAGGCAGAACTGAGGTGGGTTCCCCGACGTGAGGAGATGAAGCTTGGTCCTGGGAGACCTGGGCAGCGAGAGTTCACAGCAGAGAGTTCCAGAGAGGAGACAGCTGCACAGACAGCCAACTCCAGAGATCTGCAGAGGGACTCTGATGGGAATCAGCACATGCATGTTAGGAAGCTACCCAGGAAAGAATTATCAAAAGAGGGAACAGAGACTGTGCTGACGCTGGGCTGGAAACAATGACTGCTCCCACCAAGCAGACTGGAATAACTCTTAATTCCTAGGGCACTGGACAAAGTACTTAGGAAGGTTTTGCTTCAGTAGTGAGGAATAATTAACCTTAGACTAGGTTCTGTTTCAGAAGTGCCTAAACATCATAAGAGTAAGACCTGAAAACAGCAAACTGTTTCAAGTAACTCAATTGCATGGAACAAAGCTCAAGAAAATCTATAGAAATAACAAAAATTTCAATCATTCAACAATGTCATCTAATCAAAGACAATAAGGCATGTGAAGAGGCAAGAACATACAACCCTCAACAGAGAAGAATGAGTCAATTAAAATCCATGTAGAACTGACCCAGGTGTTAGAATTAGCAGAGAAGGATATTGGAAGAGTTCCTTTCTACCAAAAGCTTGTAGAAGAATCTTCCTAGCAGCTTGATTTGTAATTGCAAAAAATTGAAAACAATCTAGGTGTTTATACAGTTGAATAAGCAGAATACTTGGTGATAAAAAAGATTTTCTAAGAGATGCAACAACATTAATGAATCTCAAAAACATCATGCTAAGCGAAGAAAGCCAAACATAAAAAACATATTATATGATCCCATTTATTTAAGATTCTCAAGCAGGTGAAGTTATTCTGTGATACTAGATATTATATCTGTGGTTGTTTCTGGAATTGGGGAATCAACTGAAAAATAATGCAAGGAAACTTTTAGGGTAAATAAATAGTTTCAATATTGGTAGGAATGTGAGTTTCAGGAATGTAGGCATTGTAAAAATTGATCAAACTGTACAAACTGTCCATTTCATTCAATAAAAATTTTTTCAAAATATTTTAACAATCCAATAGAAAAATAGGTACTTTGTATAAAAGCAAATAAAATAGTTGATAGTAAACAAATGAAACTGTGCTTAGTGTCATCAGGATTCCTTGAAAAAGAAACTAGAACCACAGTGAGATACCATTTTGCACCCATCAACTTGATGATATTTTAAAATCTGACAGTATTTGACACCATTTCATCACATACTCTGCTGATGCAATATATATGGAAGCAACCACTTTGGGAAACATTTTGGCTTACTTAGTAATGAAGAAATCCATTCTCTGTGCCCTGAAATGCCACTCTTAGAAATATTTCTTTTTAAAAAAAGTATTGAGCGTCAAAGATTTGTGGATCTTGTTCGTAACAACGGGGTTTGTGATAACAAAAACCTGAAAACCTGAAGATTTACTTATAGAATTATAAATAGCAATATAGTCAAACATGGGTTGAATACATTCATAAAGAAGTAGAATTAGGCCGGGCACAGTGGCTAATGCCTGTAATCCTAGCACTTTGGGAAGTCAAGGCTGGAAGATCACCTGAGGTCAGGAGTACAAGACCAGCCTGGCCAACATGATGAAACCTCTTCTCTACTAAAAATACAAAAATGAGCCGGGTGCAGTGGCACAGGCCTGTAATCCCAGCTACCCAGGAGGCTGAGGCAGGAAAATCTCTTGAGCCTGGGAGGCGGAGGTTACAGTGACCCAAGATCGAGCCACTGCACTCCAGCCCAGGCAACAGAGCGAGACTCCGTCTGGAAAAAATAAAAATTAAAAAAAAGAGTCCAGGCACGGTGGCTCATGCCTGTAATCCCAACACTTTCAGAGGCCAAAGCGGGCGGATCACTAGAGGTCAGGAGTTCTAGGTCTGGCCGGTGTGGTGAAACCCCATCTCTACTAAAAATACAAAAATTAGACAGGCGTGTTGGCGGGTGCCTGTAATCCCAACTACTCTGGAAGCTGAGGCATGAGAATCACTTGAACCCATGAGGTGGAGGTTGCAGTGAGCCAAGATCACGCCACTGCACTCCAGCCTTGGTGACAGAACAAGACTCAGTCAAAAAAAAAAAAAAGTAGAATTTAATGAATTTCAGCTACATGAATACATAGATGAATCTCAGGGGTGTAAAGTCAAATGGGAAAAACATTTCCAAAGAGTACCTACAGTATGCTTCTATCTGTTTGTATCTCAAAAACATGCACAACTAAACCATATGATATTTAAAGGTACAAACACATGATAAAACAATAAGGACAAGAAGGGAATAATTAACACAATTCTAAACACAGAGTTTGAGAAGGGAGTAGAGCTGGGGAAGGAAATGCAATACAAAAGTATACATTGTATTGTATTATTTAAACTTTATATATGTTTCACTAAAATTCTTTCTTGCTCACTTTATTTAACACAAAATTTGGTAAAAAGTGAACCAAAAAGAATATAGAAGGGTAGACTAAGGAATGTGAGATAAAATGCTGAATATGTAAGTTTTTATTATCAATATCAAAATCATTATAAAACTCAATTATAAATCTGCCAAATTCTTAATGTAGAAATTTCTCATTTAGAGTTATAAGATCACCATGTAATGAAGACAGAACTGAAAGACTGTTAGTGAATAATGTTGTTTATAAAACAATGCACCCAGATAAATGTCAAGGTATTATGAAAAGTATTATTTATTCCCAGCCCATAATTAATTGAATGCCCTGTGGAGGCAAGACGCTCTAGTGTAAAGGTTTTTGTCATTTTTATAAAGATGTTTATTTGTTCTGCTATTTCACAATGCTTGATTATGTGGAAGTAGAATTCATCTTCCCTGCATAAACTTTCAAAGTCATCAGAAGTAAACAGGGAATGACTTTGGAGGGAGGAAAAGCGACATATAAGATCCCATTTTGAAACACCTAATATTCAAATTCAAAGTGTTATTCCTTTCCTTCTGAATACTGATATATGCTTAATGCATGCATGTATGTAAACACGTAAGAGATATCTAGAGGAACTGCATCTGAATCTGAATAATGGATTGCCTGTGAAGGGAGACAAATTCTATTCTGACCTTGCAGCCTTTTGCAAAACCAAAGTCTCCAGGTGGAGATCTGCCTAGATTCAGGATTCCACATCCTGACTGAGTTGCCAAGTATTGGCCCAAAGGACAGAGAAACACCATATGTACACTGTACAGTGCGTTCTGGTTTACCTAACAGTGCTCTGGAAAAACATGCAGTGCAGTCTCAGGGAACACATTCAGCCCTGCAATCCTGGGAGAGTGGTTGCCCACATTCTGGGCTGCTGGGCAAGGGTGGATAAATTACGGAATGTGAGGCTTGGGAGAGGAGATGCAGCCTCTCTGGTAAAATTGCCCCATTTTTGCCCTAATCTTTGTCTGTTCAACAGATGCTTTTGATAAATTTTTTTTGTGATATAAAAACAATTAATGTGAAAGCTACTTTCAGAGATATAGGGTGTATTAGGCCATTCTTGCATTGTTATAAAGGAATACCTGAGACTGGATAAATAATAAAGAAAAGAGATTTAATTGGCTCACAGTTCTGCAGGCTGTACAAGCATGGAGCCAGCACCTCTTCAGATGCTGGGGAGGCCTCAGGGAGCTTTTACTCATGGTGGAAAGTGAAGTGGGAGCAGGTACGTCACATGGTGAGAGCAGGAGTAGGGCTTGGGGGAGGTGCTAACATACTTTTAAACAACCAGATCTAGTGAGAACTAACTCACTAACATGAGGACAGTACCAAGCCACGAGGGATCCTCCCCTATGAACCAAACACCTCCCACCAGGCCCCACCTCCAACACTGGGGATTACATTCCAAAATGAGATTTGGGTGGGGCAAACATCCAAACCATACCATAGAGGACATTTAAATACATTATTCACTGTTAGTAACAGGGATTCTACTGTCTCCCCTATCTTCATATAAGTCCAGAATGCTCTCCCTAGATATGTAACGAAGCCTCTTCACCTAATCCCGATCCTAATGGCCAAGACAGGAATAAAAACAGAGCTATGGACCAACGCCGTTACCCCATTATGACAACAAATACTTGCTGCTCTCAGGTATATTTGGAAAACTCCGTCTCTTTGCTCTGCACACACGACTAATGTCACAAGGATTTATGAAATGGGTTGAATCTTTTAGCCCTTAAATCCTAAAAATCCCAGCCTGGTTAAGTGCTGGGCATACAGCAAAACATAGTGGTTCTAAGCTATTCTGGAAAAGTCACTGAGGCATCAGTGGCATGTAAGGAAATATCCCTCAGAACAGGTCAGAGAAAGCTAGAAATAAGGTCAGTTAAGGCAATATCCCCAATATGGAAACATTTAAAGAGGAGAAACTGGTTTCTACTGAGAAATTAAATGTAGACTTAAAAGACTATCCCTTTCCAAAAATCTACTTATCATGCAACTACTACCAAATGTATTAAGCAGACAATAACTTACGTAAACATGGTAACAGGTCAGCATAACATCTTCTCTACAACCTTCCAGGAGACACTGCTGAGCACAGCAGGGGTGCAATGCTATACTCCTCCCAATAGGCAAGGATTTTATTGCTAAATCCCATTAAATTGCACAAAATATCAAAATATAGTAGGAATTCATAACCAACAATGGCACAGGAGCTCTGCATCTGAAGAAATTTGCTGCCTCATTTATTGTGTGTACTATAGCCCTGCGTGCGTGGTCAAAGCAAAAAGAAGACAAAGGGGAAAAAGTTTCAGTACTGTAACCCCAGACCAGTCACCTAAAACACAAAGTCTGGGAGTTTGCATATTGTATATACAATTTAGTTTACATTGAAACAAGAGTCTCAACTGATGGTAGAAAAGTTGGGGATTTGCAGAGGGTAACAGTAAAGCTTTATTTGAAGCTTAACTTGTAAGTTAAGCTTTCCATTTAAGTAGTGAGTTTCAAGCAGAGCACTGTCTGACCACACAGACTGCATTAAGTATCTTCTTCTAGTTCAAGAGTAGAAAACCTTTTAAAAGAGTCTAGAAGATATTGTGAATAGCCTGAAGCTGGAAACCATCATTCTCAGCAAAGTATCGCAAGGACAAAAAACCAAACACCGCGTGTTCTCACTCATAGATGGGAATTGAATAATGAGAACACATGGACACAGGAAGGGGAACATCACACACTGGGGCCTGTTGTGGGGTTGGGGGAGGGGGCAGGGATAGCATTTGGAAATATACCTAATGTAAATGACAAGTTAATGGGTGCAGCACACCAACATGGCACATGTGTACATATGTAACTAACCTGCACGTTGTGCACATGTACCCTAAAACTTAAAGTATAATAATAAAAAAAAGACTCTAGAGGCTTCATAGCAGAAACAAATTAATATCTTGTTGAAATTACAGGGCACACAGTAAGAACATGACACAATATAGTGCCTTAAAAGTCAGATTGTGTTTTTATATCAAGACCCTATTAAGTTGGTTCAGAGAACAAGACTCCACCAGAGAAAAGGGGGTGGAGGCAGATTCCCAAAGACTCTTTAGGCTTGGGGGGAAGCAATCAATAATAAGCAGACATGTGAGTCCAGGTGGAGGTGGAGAGGGTTAAGACGATAAAAAACCTCAACAATAATGGCCAAAAGGCCCACTCCACATGTCTGAAATTGGGAAGTGTGAGAAGGAGCCTTAAAAATTGTCCAATGCTGGGGGGCCAAGGCGGCCAGATCACCTGAGTCAGGAGTTCAAGTCCAGACTGGCCAGCATGGTGAAACCCTGCCTCTACTAAAAAAATACAAAAAATTAGCCAAGTATGGTGGTGTGTGCCTATAATCCCAGCTATTAGGGAGGCTGAGGCAGAAGAATTGCTTGAACCCATGAGGCGGAGTTTGCAGTGAGATGGGATAGCGCCATTGCACTCCAGCCTGGGCAACAAGAGTGAGGCTCCATGTCAAAAAAAAAAAAATCATCCAATGCCTCATTTTATAAATCAGGATAAATAATACCAAAGGGATTAACTGAGTTTCTAATCCCCAGGATTTTGACATAGATGTTCTTACTCCAAATCCTTCAGACCCACTTTTAATCCACTCCAACCCAGCAAACACAGACTCTGGAGGCAAACTGCAAAGGTTGAAGTCCTGACTCCTTGACTTGTTAGTAGTCAGCCTTGAGTCAAGTTAAACTCTCTGTCTCTTAATTAAAATACCTAATTCAAAAAGTTATTGTGAGGATTAAATGAGCAAATGTAGGAAAAATGCTTTATGGTTCTGGGCATATAGTGTTATGCTTTATATGGTTAGCAATTATTATCTTTAATGTCATTATTAATTATGGGGACATAAGGAAAATGACAGAAAAGCAAATTACAATTTTTCAAAAATGCTTTCCATTTTAAAAGTGGTAAAGGAGCCATCTTCACCAATAAAACCAAAGCATAAAAATGTGACCACTCTTTAATTTAATTCTTTATAGTTGCATGGAGACCAGAAGTTATTCTCTTCCTGCCAAAAAGCCACTGACATTTATTAAAAACATTCTTAAATTCAAGATCAGGGGTTGGGGAAAGGGAAAGGAAACAAATTGGCAGTGTTCTGTAAGACCAAAGTTGGCAACTGGGAAACTTAATTTTGGAATACGCCGGCTTTCGACAAAGATCATTGGTAAGTTAAGGATTGTGCTGGTTTTCACTGAAATATTTATGATGAAGGTATTTCCTAGGAGAGGCATCTTTCAGTAGAGGCCTTGAAAGCTGCCAGAATCAATGACTTTCTTCTATGTTAATTAGCTTGATTGAGGTAATCACTTCACAATGTATACATATATCAAAACACAGCGTTGTCCATCTTAAATATATACAACTTTTATTTGTCCATTATACCTTAATAATTCTGGGGTCGGGAAGAAAGAAGGCGTTGTGTTGATCACATTATCTTGTATGCTACTTTAGAGGTTCAGGTGTCATCTGTCATTTCATTTGAACAATTATCATAATTGAAATATATTATCATATGACAATTGTCACTCAAGAGGTTATCTGATGGAACAGCTGTGTTAGAAAACGAGTACAGATATATATTTGAAAGGAAATTTAGATGTGAGAAAATTTTACAAACAGGTCTAAACTATTGTCAGAATACCTCATGCTATTAAGAGTCAGAACCCTGTGAAGTATTAGAGCTCATGAAAATCTACTAAACATAATGTGAAGCTTTTATTTTTTGGTATATTTTGTTAAAATTTAATATTAAAGCAGCTATTCATCTATTAAAAGTTAACTATAAGTAACTTGTAAATAAAAGAAGAAGAGATCAATGGCTTTGACCTAATCCCCTTGCTTTCTACCAACTATAAAAATGACTACATATATGTACCTATGCTTGACAGTACAGACAATATAGTGTCTCCCCATGTCCTCAGAGAACAGAAACTTCTTGCTTCCCTTTACTTTCTAGCTCCTGTCAACCTCTCCAGCTTCATCTCCCATGCAGATGGTTTGGGATTACCTACCAAGCCCACTAAGCACATGCTTAGGACACCAGCAATGCAAGCCGCATTCTCCCCAACCCACCTCCAAAATGAGAAAGTTGAACTCAGTGAATCTATCCATAACTTATAATCAGATAAATCTAGAAAAGCTACTTTAACTTTAGCTTTCAGGTAGTTACTGTATTGTATTGAAAAACAAAATATTTCCCATTCTTTATGCCTTTTATTTCTTTTTCTTACCTAATAAATCACTGGCTAGGGAAAAGTAAAATGATATTTGGCATTACACATGGCAAGGGAGCATGCTTGGAGCTTCTCATGATCATAACTGACTCCAATCATTCTAAATTACTTATGATCCCCAGTGGAATGTTTTCTCAACTCTGACTTTTTTGTTTAATATGCAGCATCCTTAGCGTATTGTTCTTCCTTAAACATTTTACCTAAAAAACTCCAACTCATTTAAAATTCCTCCTTTAATTACCCTAACCCCACTTATTTTGGGTTAGATGGAGTGTCAGTTACCAAGCTGTTGCTTCTCAACTCAAAGTGTACTCTTCACCACCCTGTGATTTTTGTATCTGGACCCTGTAAATATTTTTTGCCATCAGGCATGATGTTCATCTTTGTCAGTGGAGGACACTGGAGGGACATTGCAGGAGGAAGGGGATTCTTTTTTTTTTTTTTGAGATGGAGTCTCGCTCTGTCACTCAGTCTGGAGTGCAGTGGCGTGATCTCTGCTCACTGCAAGCTCTGCCTCCCGGGGTCACACCATTCTCCTGCCTCAGCCTCCCAAGTAGCTGGGACTACAGGCGCCCGCCACCACACCAGGCTAATTTTTTGTATTTTTTTTTTTTAGTAGATACAGGGTTACACCGTGTTAGCCAGGATGGTCTTGATCTCCTGACCTCATGATCCACCCGCGTCAGCCTCCCAAAGGGAAGGGGCTTCTTTTTATGCTTCCCTGTGCTTGCCTTTCTTCTTGCTCCTGTTGCACTTAGACTGTGAGTAGGATACTCAGCCGAGCTCATTCTGGAGCTTTTACATCAGCACCCAATGGGTGGATTCCTGGCATGTTTTCTCAGCACCTCCATGGGTGTTTTCCTGCTTTCCAGCCTCAGCCAGCCACACGTGCTTCAGTGAACTCCTCTGCCATCGGTGGCCCTATAGCCGTACTTCTCCAATGAGATGTGAATCTCAGCCTTGGATGGAGGGCTTTCTTCCACATTCGTTCCTGACTTGGGTGCTCTGCTTCAGCCTAGGGGTAGAAACTGCTGTCTATTTGCCACCGTGCCTGTGATTTCTGTATTCTTTAGAGTTCTCTTAACACCTTATAGCTAGCTACCTGCCTGTTATTAGTTAAGAATTCTTTACGTTAACCTGTCTCTGTTCAAATTACTGTGTAGCGTCTGTTCTCTGACTGGACCCTGATGATGCAGGTATCTTGTCTGCTGAATCCGGGAGCACCCTGTCCTTGCCCCCAGAATAGCTCTAATTAAGCTGTATATGGAAGTGCCTATGTATGCCCCATCTCCCTGTCCACACTGGAAACTCCCTCCTAGATATCTCTCCTTTTCTCCTCTAGGTTACTCTGCACCCTTCCCCAGAGACTGGCCATTCTGGTGTTCACCACGGGTTCTCATGAATTTGGTTAGATTCCAAGTGGGAATCTTAAGAGTAAATTAGAGCAAGAGAGGGATGTGATGCCAAGGCATTTGCATTTATTTCTCTGCTCATTCCCTGAAAGGGACCTCAGCTATCTGGATTCTTCATTGTCTCTCCCAAAGCAACATTCTCTACACAAACTTCTTCCAGGTTGTAGTAACCATTCCCTCACCTTTTCCCTTTGTACCTAGGACAGAAAATAGCTCCTTTGTGCATGAGGTTACTGCAGTATTCCTTGTATTACACCTATGACCCCTTCCAATTCATGTGCGTAAACAGTTCATCTGTGAATATACCCTCCAAAACCTAATCTGAGTACCTTTTCTTTCTTGTGATTCTGATCCATACCCTTTGTCTCCATTCATTCAATAAAAATTATGTTCCAGACACTATTCTAGACATTCACATTCTAGATTCTTGAGAAAGAGAAAGAGAGAGAGATTTAGAGAGAAAGTTCCTGCTAGTGAAATTGACATTTAACATTTTGGACTTTGTCCAGTGTCTGAGCTGAGCAGGTGCTATTTTGAATGGGTGAATATATTCATCTTTTCATTAAGCTTTCTTATTCAATGATATATTAAAAGTGTTTGCCAGGTGAGTGGGCAAAAGTCTACCGGTAACATACAGAGGATATTACTGATGGGAGTAAGAAGAGGACTGGCAATAAGCCATACAAAAGAGGATTCTTAAACCAGTGACTGCAGGCCTCATAGAAGATCAAACAGCAACAAGAGCAATATTTATTTCATTGTAAGTCCACTTTTTATTGAATAAATTGAAAGACACCTACAATATTTTTCCTGAATAAGTGAGATCTTAATAATAAACACACAGGGGCAGGCGTGGTGGCTCACACCTGTAATCCCACCACTTTGGGAGGCCAAGGTGGTCAGATCATGAGGTTAGGAGATTGAGACCATCCTGGCTAACACGGTGAAACTTCGTCTCTACTAAAAAATACAAAAAATTAGCCGGGCGTGGTGTCAGGCACCTATACTCCCAGTTGCTTGGGAGGCTGAACCAGGAGAATGGCATGAACCCAGGAGGCGGAGCTTGTGGTGAGCCGACATCGCACCACTGCACTCCAGCCTGAGCGACAGAGCAAGAGTCCGTCTCCAAAAATAATAATAATAATAATAATAGACATAGAAAGTTGGTTTTCTCGGCTTTTCCACCAGATCATATCACTGCACACATCATAACTTCCACCCTCTCCTCAAGAACTATCCCACACATAAATATCCTGGCTAGCTTTTAGAAAAAAAGATATTTTATGGAAAACAGTGACACTTCTTAGGAGGCAGATGTGTTAAGCTAAATGTCTTATTAGTAATATGAGTCACTTAATGTTCTAAGCCCTAGTACCTTGCAAAGGCATCTTTTTACATCCGTCTGAGATTTTCATCAAATAATATTCATGCCAAGAAACCAGAAAAGTCTATTATATCCTGTCTTTTACTCATCCTTTAAAAAAAAACATCAGATTTACCCCCAAGCAAGCAGAAAAGCAAAAATTCTACACTTAAGCCATCTCCAAGAAATAGCACGAGAGGGTGATGATGGCATTGCCATCTGCAATGGAGCATGGTGAATACCAGCACCAAGGTAATCTAATTATGTCTTGATGCCAACACAAATTTTTACTGGCTTTCCCCCAATTATGTCTTAATGCCAACACAAGCTTTTACTGGCTTTCCCCTAGCTCTTCAAAATTAGAATAAATTGCACATATTATGAGAGTGAGTGATAATAATTATGATTCTTAAGTTCTACCATGTTAATGATAAAATGTGAATATATTCACTTAGTGCATATTCTGGGATATCAAAGACCACTCTCACTTCTGATACCAACTGCAACTAAGGATTGCCAAGATCACTTTCAGTTTTAAAAATTTTCTACAAGGATTCAGAACTCACTGAAAACAGTTAAATTTTTGGTTGCAGCTCATTACAGTGAAAAGATACAGCTTAAAATCATCCAAGGGAAGAGGTGCATGAGGCAGAGTCCAAAACATGTCCACACACACATACTTCCCAATGAAGCCATGGACAGTGGCAACTTTCCCAGCAATGTTTGTGACAGTACACATGGAGTATTGCCAACCAAGGAAGCTGACCTGAGTCTTGGTGTCCAGAGTTTTTATTCAGGCTCATATCATAGACAAAGTTGACTATCCATGTGGCTAACCTAGATCCAGCCCTTCCAGAGATCAAGCTGATATCATGTGACCCAAAGCCCTCCTCATAAATCACACTGTTAAACTATCTGGCTTGGCCCAAGATCCCTGGGAAACAAAGACATTCTTTTTAGGCGGGATATTTGAAGGGCTTAGAAATTACCTCCCAAGAGCTGAGGGCAAAGGCCAGACCTGTCTTTGGACAAGGTTAACTTCTTCTTTATCCACTTGGGGAATCAAAAAGTTCAGGAATTGTAATCAGAAATTCCATTTAGCACTAGCATTATTTATAAATAACTTAGCATCCCATTTTGGTATTGTTAGCATGCTTTTCTTTTAATTTCCAGCTTTATTCTGGGTAGAGTAACATCTACACCACATCTACTTTCTAAAAACATCCAGAAGCAAGACAGAGAGATATTCAAGAAAGAAAAACCTCTGGGATATTTCTAGTTTTTAATGCCTAACTCTGTCAGTAATAAGTGAAATAGGAGCAGATTTTACATGTCCTTGAGGAATATCAAAATTGGCACTTGGAGGAAGGAGAACAGACAAGCTAACGGCAACCTACATTCTATAGTTTTCTATCAGTGAACTCTGGTTTCCACTAAAAGAGAATTCAACTCAATAAAGACTAAACAGAGTCAGATAATAGCCTAACAGTCTAGCGAAGATAATTTTTAAAACAGCAAAATAAAAGAATAAGGAATAAGCATTAAATTCTTGAAACAAAGAAAAAAACCTAGGAAAACAATTCAGTCCATGTACCTGTTAAAAACAGCTTTTGAGGAACCAAAAACTGTTAGGATTTGGTAAGGTTTCTTATTCTTTCTGAGTTACCTATTCTGTTCCATTTTCATTTTTATTGGAATAAAGTCATATAATAAAATATCAATATAAAAAAATCATGCTTGGTATCAAGTTCAGTAAAAGTCATTTAAGGAAAATGAAATGCTATTTACTAGTTCCATATAGTAGAATTATATATTCAAATTGGCCGCTGCATTTTTAGAAGGTATTTGTCACACAGTCAATGTAATTCTTCAAAACTGAAATGTCAACTTCCCCATTCCCCAGTATGTTTCCTCAATTTCTGTCCTTTTTGCTACAGTTTCTTTTTGTTCATCCACTTTATTTTAAGTAGGATCATCAAGATGACCATGCCACTCTTTTCCGATGTTCATAAGCTATGTGTTGGAATTTTGTGATAGAATTGTTTTCTTTCATGTTTTAATATCACCTCTTTTGATCAGAATATTCTTCTTTTGCAATTAGTCAATCACTTGACATTTATTGAACATGGATCAGTGCATATACAATGCTAAGCATTGCTAAGCTTAGCTAAGCCATTACATAAATGGTTAAGAGTACAAGGTGGCAATTAAATGATAATTGGAAAATAAATCAGCTAATTATCAGTGATATAAACCTCCTGATAAGGAGCAACTGGTTGGTTTGGGTGGGCAGATAGAGTATTCAGTCTTGAGAAAGAAATTATTTGGGAGGACTAGAAGAAAGAATATGGGTGTCTGACATTTCAGGAAAACCATAGCAAACAGAAAGTTCATGGTATCCATGGCAGTTTTCAGTAGCAGTGAGGAGTACATCTGACTGGAGCAAAATGCTCAACAAGGAAAGTGCTGAGATAGAAGGCCAGAAAGTGAGTGCAAGGCCACTCAGAGTCTGTGTATTCCAAAAGAAAGACGGAATGGGAGGTGTTAGAATTTGCACTAAAACCAGGCAGATCTTATTTCCAATCCTGTTTCTGCCACCATTAGCGCTGGATTTCTCATCTTTGTAATGGAGATAATAATAGCACAGACCTCAGAGTGTATATGTAAATATTAAATGGAAAAACTCTTATCACAGTGCTTAACACATATCAAGGGACAAAAAAAAAAGTTTGTTTCTATTATTAGCCTCACCAGGGGAGTCTGGGTCTTGTTGTGTCACTATTAAAAGGTCTTGGTGTGGAATGATATGATGAATCATTCATTTGGAAACAACACCCATTGCCCTGTATAAAGGGAGGAGGACACTCTTTCCCCATTCCGTTTATGCAGGCTTTTCATACAGTTTAAAGTCAGCTTAACCACATGAATTTGAACTGGTCTCCTCGTACCTAGCCACATCATTCCATTATGCCTGAGGGACTCTGGACCAAGCCCCCCAACCCCTGTAGTCAGTGGCAGGCTCTCAATAATGCCCCAGCACCTTTTCATATACTGAACTTTAAGTACAATGAACAAAGACTTGGGGGTCAGGAAAGACCTGGATTCAAACAATAGATAGGAGTTAAAAAATTATTCTTTTAGCCTTGTATTTCTCATATGTAAAAATATAAATAATAAAAAGCGAACCTTGTATATGTTGTTGTGATGCTTAAACGCGATAATTAAAGCAGAAGTATCTTACCAAAAGAGAATCAGACACAGTGGCTACACTACAAACACTTCAGAGCCCACTTCATGCCGGGTCCTAGGTATTGTCTGCTTTAATCATTATAACGATCCTATGAGAGAGATGCTGTATAGTCCCATTTTCCCTATGAGGAAGCTGAGGTCTAGAAGGGTTAAGTAACTTGCCGAGTCACAGATGGAGCGTGAAAATATCTTTGGTTGACTTAAAAGCCATAATAAAGGGAAAGCCCTTGTGTTTTCTAGGAAGCCATTTACTCATTATAATGTGTTTTATCATTAAGGTCAGAAGCTGCTAGCCATTGCTAGTGGTACAGAGAGGCTTCAAGAGTCATTGCAGCACTATTCACAATAGCAAAGACATGGAATCAACCCAAATGCCCACTAATGATAGATCAGATGAAGAAAATGTGGTACATATACACCATGGAATACTATGCAGCCACAAAAAAGAATGATATCATGTCCTTTGCAGGGACATGGATGGAGCTGGAGGCCATTATCCTTAGCAAACTAATGCAGGGACAGAAAACCAAATACCACATGTTCTCACTTATAAGTGGGGGCTAAAAGATGAGAACACATGGACACATAGAGAGGAACAAAGACACACTGGGGTCCTTCAGAGGGTGGAATGTGGAAGGAGGGAGAAGATCAGGAAAAGTATTTAATGGCTACTAGCCTTAATACCTGGGTGACAAAATAGTCTATACAACAAACCCACATGGCATAAAACTGCACTTGGACCCCTGAACTTAAATTAGAAGTTTAAAAAAAAGAGTCAGGCTGAGATCCTGGCTGTTCACCTCACTCTTTTCCTTCCAAAGGAACATATTTTAGTCAAAATTACCATTGTTGGGCATATCTGTCCCCTCTCTCCTAGCTGTGACCTGACAACACTTGTAATCAGGTTGGCTTCATGCCTTAGTGTGAGCCTGAGCTGCTGATGAGCTACTTTCCTAGTCAACCCCTCCCTCCCTAACAACAGTCCTTCCCTCAGTTTCTGTGCCAACAGTAATTTTTCTGTCCTTAGCACCTCCCTTCTTGCACCTATTTTGATATTGCTTTGCTTGCTCTATTGTTTGTTTATCCTGGGAATCTCCCTTTTTGTTGTTGTTGTTTTTGCTTTGACAAATCAAGACATTTTTCTTTCCCATTGCTATTTCCACAGAACATTGAGGTCCTTGAAGTTGCTCATTTATTTTTCCTTGATGATATACATTTAGCACTAACCAGGGAAAATAAACTTTTCAACTTCCTTTAACATACATTTAGCACTAACCAGGGAAAATAGATTTTTCAACTTCCTTTGAGAGCCAGGATCCAGTCTTTGTGCCTTTTTATACTGTGAAGACCTGCTAATCTCTTACTCTACTTAAGTGCATAGCATGTGTTAAGGTATATGTTGAAACATCTGTCGCCTCACAGGGAAGCCAGAAGCTAGCTGCTAAAACCAGGATTCATTCTGCTGATCCAGGATGACATTTTGTCTTTTTACTCTTCCACGTGACTTCTGTATTTCAGGAGAGAGGAAGTGTGATTCCCGTGGGGATGATGTGTTTCTTCTCAACCACCAACTCAGTCTTTCTCTAAGGCCACACACTTTTGCTGACCTAAAGAGTGGACTGATCTGATTTTTCTCCTGGGTTTTAGGAGAGGCAGAGTATTTATTCTATGAATGAACCCTTGACCCCTTCCCAGGATATTAGTCCTTTCAACTTTCACTCATTTTTGTCACACCCTTTCTTTGGACTGCCTCAGTAACCCATTGGGGCTGGAGGAACACAAGCTTTCTGGATGATTGTAAACACCAAACTGAAAAAAAAACCTGTATCATGGAACACGTTATAGAATTATCTGATGAATTAATCTTTCAGAATACACCACATTCCCCATGCTATTTATGTTGAACTGCCACTAGCAATTTTTTATTATTTCAATTTTTCATTATACTTGTATTTTAATTTTAGTAGTTGGTAATTTTTTATTTTGTTTTGCTTTTTTAAACAGCAAAAGCCTTTATAGTAGATATTTATACCAATCAAGGATCCTTCTGCCTTAAGGTATTTAGTGGTATTTAGAACTTTCCATATATCCCACACCCAGCTTTTCCTATTGGTAGTAGCTTACATTAGCATGGTACATCTGTCATAACTAATAACCAATATTGACACATTGTTATCAAAGTTCATACTTTATTCAGATTGTCTTAGTTTTTCCCTTATATCATTTTTCTGTTCCAGATACCATTCAGGATACCACACTACATTAGTTGTCATGTCTTCTTAGGCTTCTCTAGACTGTGGTAATTCCTTAGTCTTTGCTTGTTTTTGATAACCTTGACAGTGCTGAGGGGTGCAGGTCAGGTATTATGTAGAATGTCCCTCACTTGGAATTTTTATGACATTTTGCTTTTTGCTAGGCTGGATTTATGGGATTTGGGAGATAAATACCAAAGAGGTAAAGTCTCATTTTTGTTATATCACACAAAGGGTACGTGGAATCAACGGCACTCATCACTGCTGATGTTCACCTTGATGATCTGGCTGGGATAGTATTTGTCAGGTTTCTCCATGATAAAGTGGTAAAGGTATTCTTCCCTTTTTCTTTCCCTATCATGAAGGAAATCACTACATACAGCCCACACTTAAGGGACTGAAAGGTGGTGGATGCTCCTTGAGCAGGAAGTATCTGCTTAAACTATTTAGAATTCTTCTTCACTGGAGATTTGTCTATTCTCTCCTATTCATTTACTTATGTAAGTATGTATTTCTGTATATATTCAGTCATTACTATTATTATTATATATTTTTTGAGACAGAGTGTCACTCTGTCATCCAGGCTGGAGTGCAGTGACCCGATCTCGGCTCACTGCTACCTCTACCTCCTGGGCTCAAGTGATTCTCCTGCTTCAGCCTCCTGAGTAGCTGGGATTACAGGTGTGCACCACCACATCCAACTAATTTTTTGTATATTTAGCAGAGACAGGGTTTCGCCATGTTGGCCAGGCTGGTCTTGAACTCCTGATCTCAAGTGATCTGCCTGCCTCAGCCTCCCAAAGTTCTAGGATTACAGGTGTGAGCCACCACATCCAGCCCAGTCATTATCTATATAAATTATTTGGAATTCTTCTATATGGGATATTTGTCTCTTATTCATTTATTTTTTTATTCAATTACTTGTCCATATCATTATGGAGCCAAATATATTTATTTTATACTTCAGGTTATAGTCCGATACTATGCTATCTATTTGGTTGTTCAACTTTTAGTATTGGCAATTAGGAGCCCTTTTAGTTTGCTTCCTGTATCCCTTTCACATATTCCAATCATTGTTTTGAGCATTTTCTTTCTTTTTGGCACTATAAGATCCTCTAGGTTGATACTGCATATTCCCTGCCTCAGTCCTGAAATTAGCCATTTCCCTAAGAAGTTCTTATTTCTTTTTGCAAAGAATGGCATCAGAAACTGAGATCTGGGCACCAGTGTGCCCACTGATATAGGGTCTTATTTTTTCTAGGCCCTTTCGGCGGATAGTACAAACAAATATATGTGTGTATACTATCTCTCTCTATCTCACTGTCTGTGTGGGTGGGGGGGGGGCGGCGGGGGGCCATAGCTTTCTTCTCCACCCTGTGTTGCCCCTCTTTCTTTGCATCTGGTACACTTGGGACTATCTATTCTTTATATTACTAGTTTTCAACAAAAGAACAAAACAAATCCATGGCTTGACAATGTTCAGATTTTCAGAAACAGAAATGAGAAACATTTGGTTCATGTCTTAATTTCAAGACATTCTATTATTTTAGTCATCAGCCTTGATCACACTGTATCTTTTGCTTAAAAGCTGAGTAAGCTTTTCCAAGTGTTTGTTTCTCATCATAAGAAAGTGAAATGCAAAGTATAAAAATAAAAACTGTGATATTGACAGAACTATCAGAAACATAACACTCTACCAATCAGTAATTGAAATACATTAGTTATTCATTGGGTACAAAGTGCTCATGTAGCTCCAAAGGCAAGACAAGCATTAACCATTCTGTTCATCTGATTACAGCAGGAGATTTGTGTGTGCAGTGTGTACGTACTTCTCATGTGCATGTATGTTTGATATAGTAATTGCTTCTATTCCTTAAAAATCCATAAGTACATAAGTATATTCTCTTTCAACACTTCACCAATGCATTTGGAGGTTAAATCTTTAAGAAGAAATCTCCAATGTCAGTTCCCTCATGCAAACTGCTTCTTAGGATGACTTCAAGATTGACCTTTTTTTACCTTATGTATGAATAATGATTACCATGGTTTGCATAGGTGTAAAAATACTAAAACTTTTTCAAGTCAACTCACATGAAACATGTCTTCTTAACTGGTTATGAAGTTTATCTATCTAAAGGTTAGAAATTATTTTGATATTCATATTTTGGTTTTCAACCTGTTTATTAACAGATGTCTCTTTATAGTAGGTACTTTACATAGATCAAATGGAGTATTTTAAAATAAGTCAAATTTTACTTTCAGAAACCGGAGAATGTTTATAAGAAAATAATTTTTTCAAGAAGCAAATAACTTGTAATGAGGGTGGTATTTATCAATTTAATAGCTAAACCCTTTGGTGAAGAATGAAATGTTAATATAGAAATTCTTTCATCATGTAGACAATGATGGACTTTTCAACATAGCTTTAGAATGTTTTTCATTTTCTGTTTCATTATGATCTGCTTTTTTCTTCTAAAATGCTATATTTAAAGGAATAAAATAAAATAAACAAGAGAAGGCAAGACTATATCGTTTTAACAAATTAATACAACAAAACAAAGGGAAGCATTGTAGAAAGTAGTTATAACTAAGAATTTTTCAGCACAAGATTTTGCCATAAAATAAATCTTGAGAGAAATCCTA
The DNA here is from genome assembly GCF_000001405.40 of Homo sapiens. Taxonomy (NCBI): domain Eukaryota; kingdom Metazoa; phylum Chordata; class Mammalia; order Primates; family Hominidae; genus Homo; species Homo sapiens. Next base: position 30,351,636 of record NC_000012.12, read on the forward strand.
GCTCTATCACTTACTAGCTGTGACCTGAAGCAAATTCCTCAGTTGCTGGAAGGCTCAATTTCTTCATCTGTAAATGGAATTCATCATAGTTAATATTGAATGCTTTACTCTGTGCTGGGCACCATTCTAATCATTTTTATGTGTTATCTTGCTGCTGTGTTCAACAAGCCTATGGATTTGGTTCTATTATTATTGCCATTTTACTCGTAAACACAGGCACATAGAGGTGAAAAAACTTGCAGAAGATCATGTTGATATAAGTTGGGGAGCAAGATCAGAGCTCAAGCACTCTGGTTTGAATTTGTGATCTTCACCAGCATGTGACCTGACTACAATGGAGCTTTTACTAAGAATTGAAATGTCAAAATATATGTAAAATACTTAATACTATTCCTCCACTTAGTGAGCAACTATCAAAAAATAAAACAAAGACAGCTGAAATTAAAGGAGACCTAATCCAAGTTTATTAACTTGTCGGGGAAAGGTAAACATACCAGTGAAGCAATTTATTGACTAGTTTCAGTGAGGTGACAGAATCTGGGATATTTAAGTGCTAGAAAGCAGAGGAGGGTATATGTGTGTGTGTGTTCATGGTGTTATTCTAAATAAAGATTGAAAACTAGTGGTCTGATTAGGAGGGAAGAAGTTCATAGGTCTGAATGTGATTGGCTAAAACCAGTCCCAGTGTTCATCAATCATGAGAAGTTTTGGATGAAGGCACTAAAGGCATCCTAAGTCACTCAAAGTTAATCTTTCTTGATCAGCTTCAGCTTGTTAGAACCATTTGGGATGCAACGGATATTTCAGTTTGCTATTTTCCACGCATGGGCTGTTGTGAGTTGAAAATTTCCTTTTATACATGGTAGCCATAATGATGGTCAAAATAGTCATTATGATACTAATTATGACCATGATGTTTGCTATTGGAATGTAATTTCAAAATTATATTTGTGCCATCTTCTTTTATGTCTGTTGAACAAAATGGTCTCCCAAACTCTTAATGATTTACTTTTAATTTTCAAGCATGTATATGTTATGGATTTGGTCACATGCGTTCTGTAAGGAATAGTACTAGTCAGTGTTAAAAATACATGCCATATAATTTTCAGAGCTACAAACTGGAGTCCTCACCAAGTTACTTGGGATCACAACGTTTACCGTCTGGTGTAGAATGATGTTCTTGGGAAGGAAATATTAATATAGCACTTTTATCCTTACAATATAAAGATGAGTCTACTATTATAATCTCTACAACCCCTCAGCGATCTCCATTTAAAAAAAAGAGAGAAAAAAACAAAAATAAAGACATGAAAGAAAAGGAGAGAGAAGAGAAATAAAGAAAAGGAGGGAAGAGAAAAAAGAAAAAGACCTGCACATCAATGTCCAAACCTAGACATTAGTAGCATTAAGTACAAAACAAAACAACCACAAAGTAAATTTCCAGAATGTGACTTAAGAGCCCTACTTGTATTGTGCAAAAAAATTGAAAAGTTTGAGATTATTGTCACACAAGCCAGAGGTTGAGAATTCCATATAGTGACTGTTTAGCAGATAGAAGAACATGAGACCTGGGATGTGATCCCAAGAGCCATTTATGACAGTAACCGATTTGCGTGCCAAGGGGAAGTATCTGTCTGTTGATAGTTTTCTGTTTTAACATGTGCCCCAGTGCATCCAACTGAAAAGCAGGTTAGCCTACACCAAGAATTCTAAAACATTTTTCTGTCTGTAATTTTTACACTACTAAAAATTATTGAGAACCCAAAATGTGCTTATTTTTGTGTATCATTATCTATCACTATTGACCAGAAAATTTAAAGAGGTTTTTAAATATTTAATTCATTAAAATAATAATATGACCATTACATGTTAACATAAATGTTTATATATTAAAAGTGTATGCTTTATGCTGTACAAAACAAAACAAAAATTTCAGTGAGCAAGTAGCATTTTTTTGCTAGTCTCTTTAATGTCTGGCTTAATAGATGACATCTAGATTCTCATATCTGTTTCTACATTCATTCTGTTGTGATTTGTTGTCTTAATTGAAATACATGAAAAAAAAATCCATCCTTTCACAGAGATGTAGTTAGAGAAGGGAGCAGTATTTTATTGCTCTTTAGATAATTGTAGATATTTTTCTTTTTTTTTCCTTCTCTTATTTTATTTTATTTTATTTTATTTTTTTTATTATTATACTTTAAGTTTTAGGGTACATGTGCACATTGTGCAGGTTAGTTACATATATATACATGTGCCATGCTGGTGCGCTGCACCCACTAACTCGTCATCTAGCATTAGGTATATCTCCCAATGCTATCCCTCCCCCCTCCCCCCACCCCACAACAGTCCCCAGAGTGTGATGTTCCCCTTCCTGTGTCCACGTGATCTCATTGTTCAATTCCCACCTATGAGTGGGAATATGTGGTGTTTGGTTTTTTGTTCTTGCGATAGTTTACTGAGAATGATGATTTCCAATTTCATCCATGTCCCTACAAAGGACATGAACTCATCATTTTTTATGGCTGCATAGTATTCCATGGTGTATATGTGCCACATTTTCTTAATCCAGTCTATCACTGTTGGACATTTGGGCTGGTTCCAAGTCTTTGCTATTGTGAATAATGCCACAATAAACATACGTGTGCATGTGTCTTTATAGCAGCATGATTTATAGTCCTTTGGGTATATACCCAGTAATGGGATGGCTAGGTCAAATGGTATTTCTAGTTCTAGATCCCTGAGGAATCGCCACACTGACTTCCACAATGGTTGAACTAGTTTACAGTCCCACCAAATAATGCCGCATATCTACAACTATCTGATCTTTGACAAACCTGAGAAAAACAAGCAATGGGGAAAGGATTCCCTATTTAATAAATGGTGCTGGGAGAACTGGCTAGCCACACGTAGAAAGCTGAAACTGGATCCCTTCCTTACACCTTATACAAAAATCAATTCAAGATGGATTAAAGACTTAAACGTTAGACCTAAAACCATAAAAACCCTAGAAGAAAACCTAGGCATTACCATTCAGGACATAGGCATGGGCAAGGACTTCATGTCTAAAACACCAAAAGCAATGGCAACAAAAGACAAAATTGACAAATGGGATCTAATTCAACTAAACAGCTTCTGCACAGCAAAAGAAACTACCATCAGAGTGAACAGGCAACCTACAAAATGGGAGAAAATTTTCGCAAACTACTCATCTGACAAAGGAATATTTTTCTTTGATACTACACCAAAAATGGATAAGTGGTCATTGCTTGAAGATTAGTTGCAATTTAATCTTAAACCTTATCAAATAAATTTTTAGTGTCCTGTTACATTAAAACATTAGATCTTTTTTAATGCATGATGTTGTTACATCATGCATTAGTCATTTGTACATTATTCATTCACTGAGTTATGCAGCTCTTCCAAATGATGAGCCATTTCCCTATATGATATAAAAAATCATATTCATTAACATTCAACCTATGTTATCAGAAAATACTTTAAGTACTAGGAAATTTATGGTGCAGGTACAGATTTTCCAAAATTCTGATTTTCAGTTATGTATTATTCAGGGTTTTCCAGAGAGACAGAACCAGTAGAATGCCTGGTAGGGGATTTATTAGAGGGAATTTACTCACAGGGTCACAGAGACAAAGTCCCACTACAGGCCATCTGCTAGCTGAAGAACCAAAGCAGCTGGTAGCATGGCTCAAGCCAGTAGCATGGTTCAGTCCAGGTTCAGCAGCCTTAGACCCAAGAAAGTCAATGGTACAACCCCCTAGTCAGGCCCAAGAGCCCCCAAGAGGCTGCTGGTGCAAGTCCCACAGTCCAAAAGCCGAAGAACCTGGAATCTGATGTCCAAAGAGAGAAGGAGAAAAAGCGTCTTCCTCCAGAAGGGAGAGACAGAGGAGAGAGAGACAAAGAGAACGCATGTGAATACCACTTTTTCTGTCCATTTGTCCCAGCTGGTCCCCCAGCCCTTTGGAGGTGCCTGCCCACACTGAGGGCAGGTCTTCCTCTCTCAGGTAGACTCACATGCCAATCTCCTTCCTCAAGATACTCCCTCCTAGACACACCCAATCACAATGCTTCACCAGCCATGTAGGCATCCCTCAATCTAGTCAAGTTAATACCTAAATTAACCATCACAACTTGAAAGTACAATTTCTGCCTTTGGCAGTAAATGCCATCAGTTATTTTCTTTGAAGTGATGGCACACTTCACTCATTTTCAAGAAAAAGTCTCCCAAATCCCCAAATCTAAACTAAATCTAAAAAATAGTTTGTCTTCCAGTCATTCTTTCAAGTAAAAAGAGTATTCCCTGAAGAAAGCAGCTAGTTTGCAATCCAAGCATTACACAGGTGCATTACAACCATCTTGTTTCAGTATGCAGCATAAGTGGTTTATGTGTACATCTCACTTCACCACACAAAATATTAGACAGAAATTTACTAAAGGGTGAAGATTTAGTAAAATCAATATTTTTATTGCTTCATCAGGGATTGCAAGTACCTGATAGTGAGGAAATACAATGAGTGCCAGTGCTTTGATTTGGGCAAAAGGCAGTTTTACCCACCATTGCTTCTGTACACCACTGCAAATGTCAACATAGTGAAAAAGTCAAATAACATCTTAGTATTACAATAAAAATAGTTTTGACCCTGTGGACTCATTGAAAAGATCTTGGCAATCCCCAGCATTCCAAGGGACCACACTTTGAGAGCCACTGGCCTATTTCGAGAAAAGAAAGAACTCTTCAACCCTTAGCTGAAATTCACACAAGAGACTGAATTTTGCCAACACCAGTTCCCAATCCACACTAAGCAAAATCCAAGGACATCAGCAGCTAGGGACTCCACCCACTGCCATCCATAAATTGAAAGAAATTTGCTTCCTTAGCATGTGATTTATTTGGAAAAGCTTTCAGTGCTAAGTTCTGAAATAAGCCCAGAAGCACTTCATTATAACGATCCATTTTAATGTTGAGCTCAGGTCAAACATCAAAGCAATAAGGGTTCAGAAAATACATCAAGGTAATTTCTCTTTTACCACATATGCCGGAGTCTGACTTAGAAAGAATCTCAACATTTTCTGCTAGTGGCTAGGAAATATTAGTAATGATTTTAAAACAAAACAAACTAAAACCCTCTTTTTAGCCTCAATAAAGAATAATTTCCTGGAAATCTCTGTATTTCTATAAATACGCAATAATGAAATTAAGAACCCATCTTGGATAAATCAACTAACCTAAATAACGTTAAAGTCGGGAGAGCTCTGTAGGACAAAACCCTGTTCTCTAAAGGCACTCCCCCAATGAACACAGACCATAATTAAGGAGACTAGCAATACTAGACTAAAACAAACAGCTTTTAAAAGTTTTCCAACAGTCTTTACCATTTCTATCTCTCCGATTATAAAATGAGGAGACCTGGACACCTTTTCTAGTAAAATATTCCCAACCTCTTCCTGCAGTACCTTAAAATGAACTAAATATGCTTGCATTCCAGTAACACTAAAGAATACTAAGCATTGGCAGAGGCCATCGCCATTTTATTATGTTATTATATATATATAAAATATATATAGTAAATGATGTAAAGCTTTGATTGCATATGGAACTAAAGATCAGAAAAGGGTATGAAGACATTTGAACTGTATTCAGATGATAGGATCATTGGTATAAACTGACATAAGCTTGTTTTAATAAGTGGTTTTACAATAATTACCATAGTTGGTTTAATATCAAATGTTGCTTGAAAGTTACTGTTCCCACAGGTCCTGCCATCATCACCTTCCTGACTCCAAAAAAAATCAAGTTTCAATGACATAGCCATCGTGAGGTCTATAACAAAAGACCAAAGTGTTTCTACCACCCAAGAAGAGGAATAATTCTATGACAATATGTGCTGTAACATATCATTAGACAAAGAAAACTCATATGAGAAAGAATTGAAGAAAGTATTGAGAAAAGAAGAGGAGCTCTTACAAAAGTTGGAAATAACCTTGAAAATAAAATATTAAATTACATCCACTTTCATGAAATGGAGTCTGAGTTAAGAAAAATAGCAAATAATTGGTGAACCACTCTTTTGACATCTATTATTCATGAGGTTAATTTTATCAAGATAATTAATATGATGTGGTGTGAAGGTTATAAACCACCTGTAAATTATTCCATGCTCCTTTTATTGAAAGCGGGGATCTCTGCCTCCTTTCATGCAATCTCAGTGAGCTTGTGGCTGCTTAAGTGCAGTACAGCTGAGGTGAGGTTGCACAACGTCTGTGCAGCAGCCTCAGCCTTGTTCACTGAGAGAGTTTGTTCCTGGAGTCTTCAGCCACCACAAAAGAAGTTAGGCCATTCTACAATGCCATGCCAGAGAGACCACATGTAGGCATCGGCTTGACAGTTCAGCTGAGCCTTCAGTTCCTACGTATTAATTTATTGCCTCTCAACTCTAAATCTACCCCTTTACCCTGCTTTGTGATACTAGAGCTGGATCCTATAAACATTTCTTCTTTGCCAGCTGGCTCAATGCTACTAGAGGCTTTGTTAATAGAAGGCACTGAAAGGACACTGTAACGCCACAGCAGGATAAAGGGACTTCCTTTCCAATTTGGGTGTGCTATTTATCACCGTGGCAGCCAGTAGAGTGGTGTGTGAAAGGCCTAGTTGTGCTTATCTCAATAGCTCTTGAAGATCAGCTTCAGGGAACTGGTACCCTCTTGCAAGTTTCTCCTCTACCCAGTAGGCCACTCCTAGGGGCCAGCCTGGCCCATGCTCTCTGGAAATTTTCTTCACCACCGGAAGAATGTGTGCACTTAGGGCAGCCAAACCTCTCCAAGAAGGTCTGAATCGTGTTGAAGTGGGTGGTAACGACAGCTTTTTTTTCTCAGTTCCTCCTTAATTCATCTTCCTTCAGCCCTAGAGGTAGTAGCTGCATTTTTTTGTTTGCTGCTTCCAGTTTGATAGTTAATCATCAATTTACAAGTTATAATTTTTTATATTAAATATTTCTTGTTCAAATTACTGGTGTAGTTTCTGTTCCCAGATTGAATCCTGATATAGAATTAGTATTTGGAGTCATCTGAGGAGACAGACTTTCAAAAATGGGATTTGGAAATGGGTTCTGCACATAATTAGGTTTGAGGGCAGTACTGAGTTTCTTGCCAAAATGAAATTGGATGCTAATTATCTGTGACATAATGTGGTATTCCAATAAGTTATATTATCACCTGTGGTTGATTGTGATGAAGTGCTAACTAAAGCAAATGCCTTGGGAGCCCAAGTGACTGCGGAACGTGATTGTTAAAGAAGCAGTAATGACAACAAGGACTGTGGTGTGGACTTGGTTTTCTCAAGTGCATTGCTGCACTTTCAGAAAGGAAAGGACAAGCTCAAGGTCATAGTCAGAGAATCAGAGCATTTCCGTGGCAGTCATATATATCGTTTCTTGTAACCACAGAGCCACTATTGCTGAAAATCAAATACAAAATTTAACTGTGCAAGTGGCTGGATTACAATAACAGTTGAATTCATGGCCTTCACAAGATTTCCATGTAACCATTAGGGAACTGATTGAGAAATAATGAGGCCCTGAAACTTGGAATTGGGAAATCTAGTAGGATTCAAAGGAAATTGAAAATCTCAAATCCACAACTCACTATGAGCACCTTTGACAGTGGCAGTAGATCACTTCTACCATGACTAGCCTTCCTTTGCTGGAACACCCTATGATAACTTCATCTGGAACAGATGCTTTCAAAGGGATGTTAATTATCCTCAAGACCCACTGTAATTATCCCATATTGTCCTTATACCCACAACTTGAGTCAAATCGCAGCATGTTTCTGGGACTTAGATATACAGTATGACCCTGGAGAAAACAGCCAATATTATAAATAAAATAGTTGCAAGATTTTCTAACATATATATTGACTGAAACCTGGGAATGTGTATGGAAGTGGATTCTAGGAGAGTTAGACCAAAAAGAGTAAAATATAACACCGTGTCAAACTAAATTCATTTATATAAGTTCACTGACTAGAGATTCTAAATGTCATATTTTAAATTATGCTGCTGGAAGTGGCTCTAAGATCTTACTTAGTTGGTTAACTGAAACTTGAACTCAGCAGTGCCCCCATTTAATGAGGATGAGATGCCAGTATGTCTATGCATGGTGTGGAGGAAGGAATCCAAAGGCTTAGGGAGACAGAAATATTGGTGTGTAACATGCATACCCATCTCCCAATCACATCTTCTGAGAAAGCTTAGAAGGCCCTCCCTTCACTAAGATGTTTATAAATAGTGAGGGAACACCTGTATCCTTTAAAAGCTCAGTGGTCGCTCCCATTCACAGACTAAATGTGACCAGAGGGGAGGCTACCCTGATTTCAATGGAATTAATAAAGTCCTGGAGTAATGGCAGCCAAGAGGCAGCATGTCACTGATAAAGACAAGGTGGGAATAGTTATCACAAAGGTCAGCAGCAACATACAGGTAATCAGATTGCTTTTGGCCAATAGGGATCTCAAATTGTGGTTAGTTGATCACATGGTAATAAAATACACAGAAAACCTACTAAAAAGTTGCTGGATCTATACCATGCATCAAAAAACTATGATCTAGTCTTTTTTTTTTCCAGGTTTTATTTTTCTGTCTTTTTTTGAGGGGCGGGGGGCGGACACAGGGGAGATCTGTGAATTTTTTTTTTTTTTTGAGACGGAGTCTCACTCTGTCGCCCAGGTTGGAGTGCAGTGGCATCATCTTGGCTCACTGCAAGTTCCGCCTCCCCAGTTCACGCCATTCTCCTGCCACAGCCTCCCGAGTAGCGAAACTACAGGCGCCCACCACCACGCCCAGCTAATTTTTTGTATTTTTAGTAGAGATGGGGTTTCACCGTGTTAGCCAGGATGGTCTGGATCTCCTGACCTCATGATCCACCCACCTTGGCCTCCCAAAGTGCTGGGATTACAGGCGTGAGCCACCGCACCCTGCCAGATCTGTGAATTTTTTATCAAAACTTTCCATCCCAACATACTTGTTTTATTTCTACATGGAAACATACTGTTCTGTACTTTTTCATCAGCCTCCTTACTAGGAATTGAGAATTTTCTCCTTTTCTGTCTGCGTTCTCTTGCTCAGTTCTTTCTTTATGTGTCCAGTACAGTGCTAAGTACTTTACATGATTTTTTAAATTTTATCTATGCAAAACCTTATCAGGTAAATATTACCCCCATTTTAGAGGAAACAAACTGAGGTTCTAAGAACTCAAGGGCCAAACATACAAGGTCACACAAGTGGAAGTCATCATTTGAAACTCAGCAGTTTCACTACAGGGCCTATATTCTTCTTTTTATTGTGGCTTTATTAACATTTTATTGGAAGGTGTAAAGCAAAAAGAGTGTCTGAGACAGATCTTAATCAATTTAAAGGTTTATTTTCCCAAGATTGAGGACATCCCTAGGAAAAAGAGACACAAGCCACAGTTGCATCTGTGGTCCATGCTTTTTCCAAAGAGGATTTTGAGGGCTTCAATATTAAGAGGGAAAAAGTAAGCAGGGAAAGAAAGGAGAAAAGAAAAAAAAGAGGGAGCATATGGTCACATTCTTATGAAGCTTTGATTAATGCTCACTGAATCCACATGTTGCACGTGAAAAGGAAGGGGTAGAGGAACAGTCCATTATGAATTATGTATTTGTCTCATGCTCAGTAAACCTTCAGTTTACATAAGCTCAAGTAAACATAGAGTAGAGGAAGAAGTTAAATATGCATTCATCTCAGAGTGGACTGTGGGATGATTTCTAGTCTCCTCTTGTCCCATACTTAAGAGAATAAGATGTTAATTTACATTATCAGGGTGAGGGAGACCACCTGGGGAAATATCTATTTATGAAGAAAAGGAAAGGCAGTTTGTGTGTGTGTGTGTGTGTGTGTGTGTGTGTGTGTGTGTGACTCAGTTTCCAAGCTTACTTTCCCTTTTGTCAGCTATTTTATTTTCCTTTCACATTTCCCTTTCTTCTTAAAAATATTTTGGAGAAAGCATTGTAGAAAAAAATGAGTCTTTAATCACAGGTTTGGTCTGATCCCCAGTCATTGGGACAGTTTATTCCTAGATGGTTAGGTTCCACATTGTTGAAGGGGCTCATTGGTAGCAGATTGTAAAGTCTCATGTCCCACAGAGAAAAATAGGGGGAGGAAGAGAGAATGAAAGTGAAGGAAAAAAGGAGAAAAGATCATAACAACAAAAGTGGAAAGCAATCTTGAAAAACTGATTTAGGCCATACTACTCTGAGGTCCATATATCGGTAGGCAGGTACAAACATGGTTTATATATATAAATAAGTTGCTATTATTTCTCCCAAAGTTTAAGTTGTCTAGCTTCAGTTCACAGGGCTTTAAGAAAAGCACAGTTTTAATTTCTAATGATTCCAAGTCAGAGAAAAAATGGGAGAAAAATGAAAGAAAAAGGAGAAAAAAAACATTAGTCTGGAGACTTGTAGCCAGGAAAGAATTCAGGATTCAGTCAAAATAAATTGTAGACAATAAAACTGAAAAGCAAAGGACAAGGATCTAACAGCAGGTGTTCTATAGTTTCTTTTGAAACATGTTTTTTCTCTCTAGTCCTCCATTTTTACCAATGACAAATCATAGTAGGACTAAATTATTTGCAAAATAAATTTTTGTCTTATTTATACATAATCTCATTATTTGCATAATGTTTGGCAAGAATAATTGTTTTCTACATAGGCTTCATTTTTTAATATTGGCTTTGTTGGAGCTCATATAAATATGTGTGTGTGTGTATATGTGTATATATATAAATGTGTGTATATATATATGTGTGTGTCTATATATATATATATATATATGTATATATATATATATATATATGTATATATATATATATGTATACCCTCAGATTCGACTTTTCAAAAGCCTTGAGCCCAGCCAGGGATTTATCTGTGCTGCAGATAGGTGTATGAGTTTGGGTGAAGTCCTCTCTTCTTAAGGTCCCAAGACAACCTGGTATTCCTGGGCCTGTCAGAAAGTGACTTATTTATCACAGATCAAGAACACTCTCAGAAACTGCATAGGTAAGGTGTGAGGCTGGTTTTCCTAAGAAGCTTTCACCTGTAAGTCACCTTCAATTTCTCAAAGCAGTCTGGTCATACCTGAAAATATGCCATTCAGTCAAAGCCTTTGTAAAATACCAGTGTCTAAAATTGCACCCTGTTGTAAAAGAAAGTAGAATTTTGTTGAACTTATGCAATTAACTATTTTGTCATAAATTAAGAATACTCACAAATAGTTTCCAAATTCTGGAGAAATTATGTTGAGAGAAAGAAATATCCTTCAAATTTTGCTCACAAGAGAATACTTTTACTCAATTGTTAAAAGCTATAAATAGCTCAAAAAAGTTTTCTTCACTCTGAAAAACAAAACAAAATGAATCAGCAATGTTGCAAAAATATAAAAATTATTTCAGTCCTCTATTAGTTCAGTCCCATGTAACTAACTCATTCCACTTGATATTCAGTTAGCAATCCTTATGAACACATCAGCTTTTTAATTACAGTCCTGGAAATTTTTCTAGTTCAATGGCACAATCTCCAAAGTTATTAGAAACCTGCCTTTCAGAGCACTCATAAGAGTCCTATAGCTGATTAGAAACTCCCGTTTTGAAAAGGATCAAAGTAAAACAATAATTGTGGATGACAAAAGTCTTAAAATAGTCACAGTTAAAGACACAATGATAAGGACATTTGTTATGGCATATAATAGTGTAACATCATAATGATAATTATTACCAATAACATTTCTGAAGACATTTCAGAATTATAGAAATTTGAAACACATACTCAGTAACACATTTATGTCAATTTACCTCAAAAAAGTTAAACACCATTTTATACTTGATAATGTTTCCTGTATGCTTTTAACACATTAAATAAGCCAAATATGTCTCTCTTGGACTTATAAAAAGTCAGTTTAAGGTCAAAAGACTGAATTTAGATTTTAATTTTGGAACATTTGTTAAATATCAAAGGTTTTAAACAGTTGATATCATGAAATAGCATCAAAGGTTACTTTAAAACCATTCATTCATTTAGCCAAATTGGCAATTCAAAGACTTTGAAAAAATAAAAACTTTTACTCTTTAATAGTGAAGATACTTGCTTTCCCAAACAATAAGTCCTAATAAAGACAGCATAGGCCAACTGAATCTATCTTTCTCTCTCCCTTTCTTCTTTTTGGTAGTTTATTCAAAGGACAAATTAAAATCTCCCACTATCTGTTAATATTACACAAAAATATTGTTCAAAGAGGAAAACAAATTATACCTTTCCATTAGTGTATGCTAAAGGTAATTTTAGTAAAGTCTTATAAATAAATCTATCAAGTTTTAATCAGTTTGATCATAAGGTAAGATTTCCATAAATCTTTTATAACTTTCCATTAACGAGTAGATCAATGCTGAAAAAAATCCCTGTTATTTCAACATGGAGGCCCAGATTTTGGCCCTGCCTCAGTGTGCTTTTTATTTTAATGTTTAATTTATAGAAAAACTAAATAATACACTTCAAAGTTTAGCCAACTTGATCACATTTAGAATTCCTTTTACAAGACTTATCTCCCACAATCAATTTTAAAACATGCTTAAATCTTCAGTTTTGTTCTATTATCCCTTAATTTTAAAAAATCCTTAAAAACCTCTAGATAAAACTGCTTTCTCTTTGATGAAAATCACAGTATCACATCTTTTTAACTTTTTATTGAAAATACATCTTACTTTTCTTATACTGTTTGTATGTATCTAGTAGTTTTAATTACATTGATTAATTGTTACGTTAACTCTTAGTGACCATATTTTTAGTGAAAAAGCTATGAGATAAGCAATTTTAATTATGTACCAAATGCATAGTCCAGGTCAAAAGGTAATGCCTGGGCCCTGGCCAAAGGCTCATATCTAAAGATATTAGTTTATACAAAAGTTAAACAAGTATTAAAAGTATTCCAGAAGCAGCATTAATATCTTAAAACATCTAGTATAGATAGTATCTGACTGCTTGACTAATTCAGGCCAGAGAGATGCTTAAATGAAATTTTTGAAGACGTTTCTATTTTATTTTACCAACAACTTTAGAACTGTCCTCACCAAAGATTATTAAAGTTATGTGAACTAAAAGGCATTTGAGTTAAAATTTCTATTTCTCTGACAAAATATCTGACTTATGCACTTTTTTCTTTAAACCAATTAATTAGAGCTCTTTTGTATATATTGGCATAGAGGGTCAGTCAATTATGTATTTGTTTCACACTCAGTAAATCTGCACTTTACATAAGCTAAAGTAAACATACTGTAGAAGAAGAAGTTAAATATGCATTCATCTCTGGGTGGGCAGTGGGATGATTTCTAGTCTCTTGTCTTATACTTATGATGATAAGCTGTTAATTTACATTGTCAGGGTGATGGGGGCCACCTGGAGAGATATCTGTTTAGGAAGAAAAAGAAAGGCAGATTTTTGTATGTGATTCAGTTTCCAAGTTTAACTTTCCCTTATGATATAGTGAGTTTAAGGTTCCAAGGTTTTATTTTTCTTTCATAAAAGTATCATGCATATAAGGTGCTGTGAAAAATAATTTGACAGTTACTCTAAAATTTAAACATGAAATTGCTATATGACCCAATAAATTCACTCCTAGGTATCTACTCAAAAGAAACAATAGCTGGTCAAATACATGTACATGTATATTCATAGCAACACTATTCACAACAGCCCAAAAGTGGAAACATCACAGATGTACATTAGAAGAGGAATGAAGAAATATATTGTGGTATATACATCCAACAAAACACTACCCAGCCACCAAAAGGAATGAAAAACTGATACTGTAACCATAATAGGTCCATTGCCATATGCACACAGCAAGTCAATACCAGGTTGCAACAGAGAAAGAAGTTTAAGCATAAGGCTGCCTCAAGAGAAGATGAGAGCAAGCCTCAAATCTATCTCCCCAAGGTGTCTGTGGCTAGAGTTTTCGAGGGTTTTGGAGTAGGCTAAAATGTGAAGATTGGTAAAATAATGCAGGTGAAGGGAGATAAAGTTGTATTCTCATGCTGATTCCGTTCCACTGTGGGCATCTTCAAAATGGTTGGCATTATCTGTTTTACTGGAATTCAGAATCGAAAAAACAGCTTAAGCAATTCTTAAACAAAAGCCTTATGATTCTATGACAGAAATCCTATCTAAAACAAATGTCTTATGTCAGAAATCCTATTTATATGAACAAAGGGATGCACGTGTTTTCCAGCTTGGTTCCATTCTCCCCATCACTTTCAGGTATACCAATCAAACATAGATTTGGTCTTCTCACATAGTCCCATATTTCTTGGAGGCTTTGTTCATTTCTTTTTATTCTTTTTTCCTCTAATCTTATCTTCTCACTTTATTTCATTAATTTGATCTTCAATCACTGATACCCTTTCTTCCACTTGATTGAATCAGCTATTGAAGCTTGTGCATGCGTCATGTTCTCGTGCCATGGTTTTCAGCTTCATCAGGTCATTTAAGGTCTTCTCTACACTGTTTATCCTAGTTAGCCATTTGTCTAACCTTTTTTCAAGGTTTTTAGCTTCCTTGCAATGGGTTAGAACATGCTCCTTTAGCTCAGAGAAATTTGTTATTACCGACCTTCTGAAGCCTACTTCTGTCAACTTGTCAAAGTCATTCTGCATCCAGCTTTGTTCTGTTGCTGGCAAGGAGCTGCGATCCTTTGGAGGAGAAGAGGCACTCTGGTTTTGAGAATTTTCAGCTTGTCTGCTCTGGTTTCTCTCCATCTTTGTTGTTTTATCTAACTTTGGTCTTTGATGTTGGTGACCTACTGATGAGGTTTTGGTGTGGATGTTGTTTTTGTTGATGGTGATGCTATTCCTTTCTGTTTGTTAGTTTTCCTTCTAACAGTCAGGTCCCTCAGCTGCAGGTCTGTTGGAGTTTGCTGGAGATCCACTCCAGACCCTGTTTTCCTGGGTATCACCAGCAGAGGCTGCAGAACAGCAAATATTGCTGCCTGATCCTTCCTCTGGAAGCTTTGTCCCAGAGGGGCACCCTCCTGTATGAGGTGTCTGTCTGCCCCTACTGGGAGGGGTCTCCCAGTTTGGCTACACAGGGGTCAGGGACCCACTTGAGGAGAAAGTCCGTTTGTTCTCAGAGCTCAAATGACATGCTGGGAGAACCACTGCTCTCTTCAGAGCTGTCAGACAGAGACGTTTAAGTCTGCAGAAGTTTCTGCTGCCTTTTGTTCAGCTATGCCCTGCCCCCAGAGGTGGAGTCTATCGAGGCAGTAGGCCTTGCTGAGCTTCAGTGGGCTCTGCTGAGTTCGAGCTTCCCAGCCACTTTGTTTACCTACTCAAGCCTCAGCAATGGTGGACGCCCCTCCCCCCGCCAGGCTGCAGCCTCACAGGTCAGTTGCAGACTGCTGCGCTAGCAGCGAGCAAGGCTCCATGGGCATGGGACCCACCAAGCCAGGCACAGGAGAGAATCTCCTGGTCTGCCGGTTGCTAAGACCATGGGAAAAGTGCAGTACTTGGGTGGGAGTGTACTGATTTTCCAGGTACAGTCTGTCACATCTTCCCTTGGCTAGGAAAGGGAAATCCCTTGACCCCTTGCACTTCCTGGGTGAGGCAATGCCCCGCCCTGCTTTGACTTGGCCTCCTTGGGCTGCACCCACTGTCCAACCAGTCCCAATGAGATGAACCAGGTACCTCAGTTGGAAATGCAGAAATCACACATCTTTTGCATTGATCACACTGGGAGCTACAGACTGGAGCTGTTCCTATTTGGCCATCTTGGAATGGAACTAGCAGCAGATTCTCAGATACTCTAGTGGATCCCTGGATTTGAGGGATCTTGACTCTTCATCTTTCAGCTCACAGCAGGCACACGACTCTCTGTGCTACTGACATTTAAGGTCCAGCCACTTTTCACACCTTGTCCCAAAGTCAGTAATTTCCCTGGTGACCAGCAAGGGGCTCTAGGGGCTGAGATTAGCAACTTATGACCTGTGTGTCAAAACATTTCAACTTTCTTAATCCTATTGTTACAGGACTGCCAGGTTTGTATGCCTGCTGTGCAGTAAAAGACCAATACACTAAAACAGTGGACAGTGGGGTTTGCTGTGGAGGAAGAGTTTTTAATAATTACATGACTACTGATAAAAGTAATAATAGGAATTCTCAAGCCTTAAATTTGTTGTGTCAAGGAGTTCTGGGCAAGTGTCTTTAAGGGGATCATAGGGAGTGAGGGACTGGAAAATGTCTTTGTTCTTATTTTATTTTAAGTTCCAGGTTACATGTGGAGGATATGCAGGTTTGTTACATAGGTAAACATGTGCCATGGTGGTTTGCTGCACCTGTCAACCCATCACTTAGGTATAAGCTTAGCATACATTAGCTATCTTTTCTGATGTTCTCCCTGCCCTGAACCCCTTGACAGGCCCCAGTGTGTGTTATTCCCCCAATGGGTCCATGTGTTCTTATCATTCAGTTCCCACCTATAAGTGAGAACATTCAGTGTTGGGTTTTCTGTTCCTGTATTAGTTTGCTGAGGATAACAGCTTCCAGATCCATCCATGTCTCTACAAAGGACATGATCTCCTTCCTTTTTATGGCTACATATTATCCCATGGTGTATATGTACCACGTTTTCTTTATCCAGTCTACCATTGATAGGCATTTGGGTTGATTCCATGTCTTTGCTATTGTAAACAGTGCTGCAATGAACATACACATGCATGTATCTTTATAATAGAATGATTTATTTTCCTTTGGGTATATACCCCGTAATGAAATTGCCTGGTCAAATGGTATTTCTGGTTCTAGGTCTTTGAGGAAATGCTACTTTCTCTTCTACATTGATTGATCAGTGATATTGCACTTTGTGTTTGTGTGTGGGGGGAGACCAGTTTTATTATTACACAAATCAGTCTCCCTGAACATTCAGGGAGAAGAGTTTTTAAGGATAACTTGGTGGGTTGGGGGAAGCCAGTGATCCAGGAGTGCTGATTGGTCAGAGATGAAATCATAGGGAGTTGGAGCTGTCTTCTTGCGCTCAGTCAGTTCCTGGGTGGCGGCCACCAGATCAGATGAGCCACTTTATTGGTCTGGGTGGGGTCAGCTGATCCATCAAGTGCAGGGTCTGCAAAATATCTCAGACACTGATCTTAGGAGCAGTTTAGGGAGAGTCAGAATCTTGAGGCCTCCAGCTGCATGACTGCTAAACCATAATTTCTAATCTTGTGGCTAATGTTAGTCCTACAAAGGCAATCTAATCCCCAGGCAAGATGGAGATCTGCTTTGGGAAAGGGCTGTTACCATCTTTGTTTAAACTATAAAATATAAACTAAGTTTCTCCCAAAGTTAGTTCAGTCTACACCCAGGAATGAACAAGGACAGCTTGGAGGTTAGAAGCAAGATGGGGTCAGTTAAGTTAGATCTTTTTCACTGTCTCAGTCACAATTTTGCAAAGGCAGTTTCAGTCCCTCCCTTTGGGTTTTATAACACCTCAATCTTAAGGTGTAGGCTATGAAGATGGGAAAAGGCCTGATTGCTCTGGCTTCTTCCTGCTGACAGGGGACATAGTGGGAATGGGAGTGAACCCCAAGGTGAGAAGAGTGGAACTGCTTTGCAACTGTCTGAGTGTACTCATGCAGGCCTGGCTGGGCTTTCAAGACTTGCATGGCAAAAACATCAGTACTCTCAGCTATAGTTTTACCACAGTTTTTAAGTGAACAGCCTACTACAAGGTAAATAATGAGGAGTACAATTCCCAATTTTAAAAGCAAAGATTTGAAAGCATTAGTTTGGGGACCTCTAACCCATGAAGAATTTAGAATTTAGTCTAAACTGCAGAAAAAAAAAACCTCAAGAATGGCTAACAACAGTGTACTATAGTTTTTCTTTTGAAGCACAATTTCTCTCTCTCCAGTCCCCATTTTTATTAAAAACAAATCATGATAGAACTGATTTGTTTACAAAACAAACTTTAGTCTTACTGTACTTGGCCTGGTTATTTGCATAAAGTACAGCAAGAATAATTACTTTTCACTTAGGCTTTTTTATTTGGCTTGATGGAACTCTGTTTGATGAAGAATCTCAGGTAAGACTTTTTAAAAGCCGAGCCCAGCCATGGGTTTGTACCTTCAAATACCAATGAGTTGGACAAATTCCTCTCCTCTTGAGGTCCCAAGATAACTCGGGGTTCCTGGGCCTGTTAGAAAATGGCATTCTTTACTTACCACAGGTTAAGAACCTTGTACAGGGACTCTGTGTGGACAAGGTATGAAGCCAGATCCCCCAGTGGGCTATAATTGGCTCTATAAGTCAACTTTGATTCTTTAAAGGAAGCATTTCTTTCCAGTCAAAGCCCTGGTAAAATAACCAGGTTCTCCAATTGTGTCCTGTTACAAAAGAAAACAGATTCTTATTGCACTTATGCAATTAACTATACTGCCATAAATTGAGACTATTCACAAATAGTTTCCAAATTCTGGAGAAATCTAGTAGAGAGGAACAATATGCTCCAAATTTTGTTCACAGGAATATATTTTACTCACTTGTTAAAAGTTGCAAATAGCTCTAAAGAAATAAGTTCTCTTGACTCTGAAAACAAAAGGTTTAGCCATGTTTAACACATTAGCTCTCCATGAGAGTCTTAGAATTTTGGGATTTTTCCTCTATTCCAATAGCACAATTTTTAAAGTTATCTGAGACCTACACTTAGAGTCCTATATCTGATTATAAACTGCCTTTTGAAAGCAAGACAAAATATCTGTGGATGACAAAAGTCTATAGCCACTATTAAAGCTACAATTGACTAGAAATTTTGTTTACTTCAGTGGCATGTAACAATTTTACATAACAATTATAATTATTGATAATGTACACAATATTATATCAACATTATAGAAGTTTCCCATAATTTTGGAACACATACTAATAACATATTTATACAAATATAGTCCAAAGTAAACCAAACACCATTCACTCTTCTATTTGAAAGATTTTTCTCTACTCTACTGTCACAATCTCCAGCATTATGAATCAGAATCCTGCATTTAAGAGCACCTGTTAAATTTTATAGCTGATTATAAAACCATCTTTTAAAGAGGACCAAAGTAAGACCACAATTGTCTATGGATGACAAAACATTTTAGGGAAGCCACAGTTAAAGATATGATTGATAAGGAAATTTGTCACCTCTGTGGCACACAGTCTGTTAACGTAATAATTATAATTATTATTGATAGCATATACTAAGTCATATTAGAATTATAAGAGTTTTACATATTCAGAACAAATACCAATAACATGTTTACACAAATGTAGACCAAAGAAAGCCAAACATTATGTCATATTTGACAATGCTTCCTGTATGATTTTTGAACCAAATAAGCCAAATGTCATTTTTGGACTTTAGAGGACCTAATATCTAAAATATTAGGCTAGAAAGAAACATAATTTATAATTTGATTTTGGAAAGTTTGTCAGATATCAAAGGTTTAAAACACTGGATATCATAAAATAGAATCCCAGGTCACCACGTCATTCATTTGGCCAAAGTGATAACTCCAAAATCTTAAAAGAAAACCTTTACACTGATAGGAGACTTAGCTTTCCAAACAAGACCCAATAAAGACAGCAAGAGGCTAACTCAATTTGTCTCTTCTCTCTCCTCCATTTTTTTTCCTGCTATTCACCCAAAGTAGAAAACAAAACCCTTTCATTATCTTTTAACATTACATAAAAATCATCTTCAAAAGAGAAAGCCAAATGTCATGTTTGCATTAGTGCATCTTCAATGTTAAAGCTAGTTTTTTAAAATAAAATTTTATATCTCTATCGGTTTTAATTAGTTTGACCATAAGGTAAGATTTTCATAAACTTTTTAAAACCCCTTACAATGTTCCATCAAAAAGCAGATCAATTTTCTGAGAAAACACTGTTATTCCGACACATGGGCTCAGATTCTGGCCCCACATCGGTATGATTTTTAGGTTTTTAAACTACAGAAAAAAATCTAAATAATTTCTTTTAAATCTTAGCCACCTTGTTTATACCCAAATAATTTTTTATAAGATTAACCCTTTACAAACCCTTTTCACTTTGCTTAAAGCTTCAGTTTCACCTCATTACTCTTTTAGGTTAAGACAATCTTTAAAGACCCTAAACTAGACAAAATTACATTCCCTTTAACAAAAGCCATATTCCTATGCCTTCTTATAATCTTTTACCAAAAACACATTCCCTACACACCTTGTATGTAAACTATTTCTCCAGTAATCTCAATTTCATGTTACAATATTAACTCTTAGCAGCTTTTATTTTTAGTGAAAAACCTGATAAGTAAGCGATTTTGATTATGTACTAGGGGTGGAGTCTGGGACATCAGATAGAAGTGAAGATAAGGTCTGACTCTTTTCAGCGTAGCTAGGGACATGGCTCTCCACATGTCCCAGGCCTCATCTATAATGTAATGCTCCAAAGTGGGTAAATTGAATGATTTTCAAAAGTCAAGGAAACAATTTGACTTTAAAGCATTTAGCAGATCTGATATCTGACCTTAATTTAGACCAAATGTCTACATTTTGAAGACATTTAATTTTACCAATAATCTTTAAAATTGTCTTTGTTTCCAAAAGATTACTAAAGTTATGTGAACAAGAAGGCATTAAGTTTCTATTTTTCTGACAAAATATTTCATTTAAGCTCTTATTTTTCTAAGCCAATTAATCAGAGCTCCTTTATATATAAACATCACACACACTTGAAACACATATAAATACAGACAAACAGAAGATTCAGCACTTGTAAGATTTTTTATTTGCCAGTTTTTTAATTGGATTACTGGCTTCAGGGTGCAGCCCTTGAAGGAACAGGGCCAGGAAAGCATGCATTTCTAGGGCCTAATCACAGCTAAAGGCAAAGACAGATCCCCAAAATTAAAGGTACCTTTTTATACTGGATCCTGGATCCCCAAAAGGATGGAAATACTACAGGAGAAGACAGTTCAGTGCTTTTACCAATTGTGCATTTCACTGCAAGGCAACCCAAAGCCAATCAGCCCATTTTGTAATTAGATCAGCCCCCATGAGAGTCTTATCTCTCAGTGGGGGACAGAGATGTTTCCATATACTCCAGGTGACCAAGAGCATGCTTCTTTGATCCAAGTGTGCAAAGAGTCAACTATCCCTCCATAACTATTATTAGCCATCCCCTAAAGTATATTTCCTACCTAGTTATTATACACCAAGCTCTTTCATAATGAGAAGTAATTTCTGATACCCCTAAACTCAAAACCATCAGATAACACAAGGCAAAACAGAACAGAGCCTTTTATTTTAAGAGGGATCGATCCACTTTTAATTCCTGGGGTTTCATGAGGAAAACAGAGCTTTTTTCCAAAATGGGGCTTGTAGCACCTCCTGTTTTTCCCAAGGAGTCCCCGGCTACCAGAAGTTATCTTAGGGTCTCTCATGTGTGCATTAAGAGTGACAAGACAAAAACAATGGAGACAAATAATTCAGTCCACTGAGAAGAAAAAAAAACTTTTTTCCAGAAAAACAAGATCCAAGAAGAGAAAAACATAAAGCCCTTTTAAATACATCTATAGCTTGTTTATCCACTTTTAATTAAGCTGACTTTTAACCATAGTGCTCTTTAAAAAAGAAATCCTTTCACATCTCTTATTACCCAACTTCAGCCATTCCAAGTGGCCAATATTTCTAGCTTCTGAACTTTACCAAAGGTAACCTCCTAGGTGCTTCAAAGACATCGTAAGCAGTTTCTTTTTTTTTTTTAAAGTATTCAGAATTTCCATAAGGTAGTTCAGAGAAAGGAAAATTCAAGAGAGAAAATCAGAAGCTATCTATGAGGGGGGAAAAAAACCTCAATAGATGGCAAAGTTATATAAATAAAAAAACCAGAAAGAATCATTCCAGAAGCCAAGAATAGAACCCAGGCTGCCATTGTCAAAAGGCAAAAACCTTAGCTACTGAGTTACAACATTGAGCAGTTTCTATTGCTCTTCCCAGAAGGAGCCTAGAGAAGCCAATTTCAAACTTGCAAAAGTTGTTAACTCCTCAAGAAAATTTTTAGAGCTAACTATAACATGAATCTCCAAATTCCTGTCTTCTAGATAGCAGAAACCAAGAGAAAGTATTCCCACATGGTCACAATGTTAAGCTCTTAAGGACACAAAACAAGACAGAGAAATTTCATCTGGTATTGGTTTCAGGGACCTGCAGCAAAGTTAGAAACTGAACAGTCTGCTGGGCTGGCTTGAAAAGTGAGCTTCAAACCAATATCAACCTGACAAAGCTCAAACCTTTTCCTATCGGTCCCTGTTGTCTTTGATGCACTCCAGGTGGGGAGGGACAACCTCCAAACAGTAATTCACAATGAGGTCTCTGGGCAAGGTGAAGAGCAGATAGTCACTCCAATATAGGCTTGTTGAGCCTTCTTTAGGGCTCATTGAATGTGACCACACAAATAAGGAGGGTTCTCTGAGTTGGGCCTGCAGAACTTCCATCAGCAACCCCTTCTGTGATCCCTTCTACATACACAACCCACACACAAAGACAAGATGGACAGAAGGCCTTCCAAATCAGATCGCTAACCAAGAACTCCAAGAGTATCCCTTGCAAACTATCCTCCTACTCTTCATCTAAGAAACCTTCTCAAAATCTTCCTGATTGAGAAGTCTCCCAAACCAGGACTCTTCCTACTAGTTAGAAAGAGTCAACTGAGGCTCCCCAGGTGCCAAACAGACACCCTGCAATGGGGCTACAGACACAGATACCCAATGGTGGAGCTACAAACAGACACCCCACAATGGTACTACAAACACCCCACCATAGGGCTACAGAACCAGTTGGGAGAAAGAAGGAGGCATTGGCAGGGCCTAGGTTACCCACCAATCCAGACATCCCACAGTGGGGCTACGGACAGACACCCTGTGATAGGGTACAGTTAAAGGACATCTCCTCATGACTATTTCTCCTTTGCAATTAAATTCACGCACATTGGGTCAGCAGTGCCCTGCCAGTAGAGAGAGTACCAGAGTCAGCCAACAGTAAAAGAGAACTAGGTGGCCACTTGGGTTGGCTTCTGAATCCATTGCTGAAGGGGGGCCACTGAACCATGGGCAGGTAGCCACAAGGGCAATCCCAGATGAGCTCCCAAATTGGTAACTGCCCAAGGGGTCCACATTGCCCACTGCATAGACAGAGCTGATTCATCAAGGCAGAGGAATTGCAATAGAGAAAGAGTAATTCTTTCAGAGCCAGCTGTGTGGGAGACCGGAGTTTTATTATTACTCAAATCAGTATCTGATGTTGTGCTTTTTTTTCATGTGTTTTTTTGGCTACATAAATGTTTTCTTTTGAGAAGTGTCTGTTTATGTCTTTTGCCCACTTTTTAATGGGTTTTTCTTTCTTGTAAAGTTGTTTCAGTTACTTGTAGATTCTGGATATTAGACCTTTATCAGAAGGGTAGATTGCAAAAATTTTCTCCCAATTTTTAGGCTGCCTGTTCACTTCAAAGATAGTTTCTTTTGCTGTGCAGAAGCTCTTTAGCTTAATTAGATCTTAATTGTTAATTTTTACTTTTGTTGCAATTGCTTTTGACATTTCCTCATGAAATCTTTGCCTGTGCCTATGGTTTGAATAGTGGTGCCTAAATTTTCTTCTAGAGTTTTTATGGTTTTGAATTTTACATTTAAGCTTTTACTATATCTAAATTTTTTTATAAGGTGTGAGGAAGGGGTCCAGTTTCAATTCTCTGCATATGGTTAGCCAGTTCTCCAAGAACCAGTTGTTAAATAGGGAATCCTTTACCCATTGCTTGTTTTTGTCAGATTTGTCAAAGATCAGATGGTTGTAGGTGTGTGGTCTTATTTCTGAGTTCTCTATTCCATTCCAGTGGGCTATGTGCTGGTATTTGTATCAGTACCATGCTGTTTTGGTTACTGTAGCCTTGTAGCATAATTTAAAGTCAGGTAACATGATGCCTCCAGCTTTGTTCTTTTGGCTTAGGATTGTCTTGGCTATTTGGGCTCTTTTTTGGTTCCTTATTAATTTTAAAATAGTTTTTTCTAATTCAGTGAAGAATGTCAATTGTACTTTAATGGGAATAGTATTAAATCTATAAATTACTTTGGGAAGTATGGTCATTTCACAATATTGATTCTTCCTATCTATGAGCATGAAATGTTTTTCCATTTGTTTTTGTCCTCTCTGATTTCCTTGAGCAGTGGTTTATAGTTCTCCTAGAAGAGGTCCTTCACATTCCTTGTTAGCTATATTCCTAGGTATTTTATTCTCTTTTTAGCAATTGTAAATTGGAGTTCATTCATGATTTGGCTCTCTGCTTGTCTGTTGTTGGTGTATAGGAATGCTTGTGATTTTTGCACATTGATTTTGTATCCTCAGGCTTTGCTGAAGTGGTTTACCAGCATAAGAAGCTTTTGGGATGAGACAATGGGGTTTTCTAGATATAGGATCATGTCATCTGCAAATAGAGACAGTTTGACTTCCTCTTCTCCTAATTGAATACCCTTTATTTCTATCTCTTATCTGATTGCCCTGCCAGAACTGCCAATACTATGTTGAATAGGAGTGGTGAGAGAGGGAGAGGGCATTCTTGTCTTGTGCCAGTTTTCAAGGGGAATGCGTCCAGCCTTTGCGCATTCAGTATGATATTGGCTGTAGGTTTGTCATAAATGGCTCTTATTATTTTTAGATAT
The DNA here is from genome assembly GCF_000001405.40 of Homo sapiens. Taxonomy (NCBI): domain Eukaryota; kingdom Metazoa; phylum Chordata; class Mammalia; order Primates; family Hominidae; genus Homo; species Homo sapiens. The sequence continues at coordinate 30,376,437 of NC_000012.12, forward strand.
GTTTCATTAATACCTAGTTTATTGAGAGTTTTTAACATGAATGGATATTGAATTTTATCAGAGGCTTTGCCTGTGTCTGTTGAGATAATCATGTGGTTTTTGTCTTTAGTTCTGTTTATGTGATTAATTACATTTATTGATTTGCATATGTTGAATGAACCTTGCATCCTGGTGATGAAGCCAGGTTGGTCTTGGTGAATAACCTTTTTGATTTGCTGCTGGACTCAGTTTGCCAGTATTTTATTGAGGATTTTTGCAACAATGTTCATCTGGGATATTGGCCTGGTTTTCTTTTTTTGTTGTATCTCTGCCAGGTTTTGGTATCAGGATGATGCTGGCCTCATAAAATGAGTTAGGGAAGAATCTCTCATTTTCAATTGTTTGTAATCATTTCAGAAGAAATGGTACTAGCTCCTCTTTGTACACCTGGTAGAATTCAGCTGCAAATCTGTCTGGTCCTGAGCTTTTTTCTGTTAGTAAGCTATTTATTACTGCCTAAATTTCAGAACTTTTTATTATTCTATTCAGGGATTCAACTTCTTCCTGGTTCAGTCTTGGCAGGGTGTATGTATCCAGGAATTTATCCATTTCCACTAGATTTTCTAGTTGTTGTGCATAGAGGTGTCTATAGTATTCTCTGATGGTTGTTAGTATTTCTGTGAGGTCACTGGTGACATCCCCTTTATCATTTTTATTGTGTTTATTTGATTTTTCTTTTTTCTCATTTATTAGTTTAGCTAATGGTCTATTTTATTAATTTAAAAAAAACAGCTCCTTGATTTGTTGACTTTTTGAAGGGCTTTTCATGTCTCTGTCTCCTTCAGTTCTTCTCTGATCTTGGTTATTTCTTGTCTTCTGCTAGTTTTAGTGTTTGTTTGCTCTTGGTTTTCTAGTTCTTTTAGTTATGATGTTAGGATTTCAATTTAAGATCTTTCTAGCGTGTTGATGTGGGCATTTAGTGCTATAAATTTTCCTCTTAACATAGCTGCATCTCAGTTTCTGGTACACTGACTCTTTGTTCTCACTGGTTTCAAAGAACTTCTTGATTTTTGTCTTAATTTCATTGTTTACCCTGGAGTCATTCAGAAGCAGTTTGTTCAGTTTACATGTGGTCATGTAGTTTTGAGTGAATTTCTTAATCTTGAGTTTTAATTTGATTGTACTGTGGTCTGAGAGACTGTTATGATTTTAGTACTTTTGCATTTGATGAGGACTGTTTCATTTTCAATTATGTGATCAATTTTAGAATAAGTGCCATGTGGCAACAAGAAAATGTATATTCTGTTGTTTTTGGATGGAGACTTCTAAAGATCTCTATCAGGTCCACTTGATCAGGTCCACTGATCCAGAGCTGAGTTCAAGACCTGAATATCTTTGTTAATTTTCTGTATCAATGATCTCTCTAATATTAAGAGTGGGGTGTTAAAGTCTCCCACTATTATTGTGCAGGAGTATAAGTCTCTTTGTGGGCCTCTAAGAACTTGTTTTATGAATCTGGGTACTCCTGTATTGGGTCCATATACATTTAGTATAGTTAGCTCTTCTTGTTAAATTGAATCCTTTTCCATTATGTAATGCACTTCTTTGTCTTTTTTCTTTTTTTTTTTTTTTTTTTTGAGATGGAGTCTCGCTCTATTGCCCAGGCTGGAGTGCAGTGGTGTGATCTCGGCTCACTGCAAGCTCCCCCTCCCAGGTTCACGCCATTCTTCTGCCTCAGCCTCCCAAGTAGCTGGGACTACAGGCACCCACCACCACGCCTGGTTAATTTTTTTGTATTTTTAATAGAGATGGGGTTTCACCACATTAGCCAGAATGGTCTTGATCTCCTGACCCCATGATCCACCCACCTCAGCCTCCCAAAGTGCTGGGATCACAGGTGTGAGCCAAAACACCTGGCCTGTCTTTTTTTTATCTTTGTTAATTTAAAGTCTATTTTTTTTTAGAAATGAGGATTGCAACTCCTGTATTTTTCTGCTTTCCATCTGCTTGGTAGATTTTCCTCTATCTCCTTATTTTGAGCCTATGTATTTCTTTGCATGTGGGATGGGTCTCTTGAGTACAGCACACAGATGAGTCTTGACTCTTTACCCAGCTTGCCATTCTGTGTCTTTTAATTGGGGCATTTAGCCCATTTACATTTTTGGTTAATGCTGTTATGTGTGAATTTGATGCTGTCATCATGATGTTAACTGGTTATTTTGCAGACTTGTTGATGTAGTTGGTTCATAATATCATTGGTCGGTGTACTTCAGTGTGTTTTTGTAGTGGCTGATAATGATTTTTCTTTTCCATATTTTGTACTTCCTTCATGAACTCTTGCAAGGCAGGCCTGGTGGTGACAAATTCCTTCAGCATTTGCTTATATGAAACGGATTTTACTTCTCCTTCACTTATGAACATAGTTTGGCCAGATATAAAATTCTGGGTTGGAAATTATTTTCCTCAAGGATGTTGAATATGGACCCCCAATGTCTTCTGGCTTGTAGGATTTCTGCTGAGAGGTCTGCTGTTATTCTGATAGGCTTCCCTTTGCAGATGGCCTGGCCTTTCTCTCTGGCTGCCCTGAACATTTATTCCTTCATTTTGATCTCAGAGAATCTGACGATTATATGTCTTAGGGTTGATCTTCTCATGGAGTAACTTACTGGGGTTCTCTAGACTTCCTGAATTTGAAACTTGGACCTACTTGCTAGGTTGGAGAAGTTCTCCTGGATGATACCTTGAAGTGTGTTTTCCAATTGGGTTTAATTCTCCCTATCTCTTTCAGGTACCCCAATCAGTCATAGGTTCAGTCTTTTTACATAATCCCATAAACTTGTCTGCCTGTCTTATTTCAGCAAGATAGTCTTCAAACTCTGAAATTCTTTCCTCTGCTTGGTTTGGCTATTGAGACTTGTGGTTGCATTGTGAAGTTCTCATGTTGTGTTTTTCAGCTACATAAGGTCATATGTGTCCCTCTCTAAGCTTGTTATTCTGGTTAACAGCTCCTGTAATGTTTTATCATGGTTCTTAGCTTATTTGCATTGAGTTAGAGTATGCTTCTTTAGCTCAGTGAAGTTTGTTACTACCCACCTTCTGAAGCCTTCTTCTGACAGTTTATACATCTCAGCCCCAGTCTTGCACCCTTGCTAGTGAGGTATTGTGATCATTTAGAGGAGAAGAGGCACTCCGGCTTTTTGAGTTTTCAGCATTTTTTCATTGATTATTTCTCCTCCTCCTCAGTTTATCTAGCTTTGACCTTTGACTCTGCTGGCCTCGGGTGGGGTTTTGTGGGAACTTTTTCTTGATGCTGTTGTTGTTGTTGTTGCTTACTGTTTTTGTTTTTTCCTTTAATGATCAAACCCCTCTTCCATAGGGCCATTGTGGTTTGTTCGGGGTTCACCCCAGACCCTATTTGCCTGGGTCTCTCCCACCCCTGTAGATGTCACCAGGAGAGGCTCCAGAATAGCAAAGATGGCTGCCTGCTCCTTCCTCTGAGAGCTCTGTCCCAGAGGGGCACCAACTTGTTGCCAGTGGGAACATTCCTGTATAAGGAATGTTGTGGGGGGATCTCACCCAGTTAGGAGGCACAGGATCAGGGACCCACTTAACAAAGCACTCTGGCTGCCCCTTGGCAGACGGGGTGCACTGCACTGGGGTAAATCCAAATCCCACTTGTCCGGACTGCCAGGATTCCTCAGAGCCAGGAGGGAAAAAGACTAAGTCTGCTGATCCACAGAGATTGGCCAGCCAGCCCCCACTCCCAGGGGCTCTGTGTCAGGGAAATCAGAGTTCTGTCCATAAACCCCTGGCTGGAGTTGCTGAAATTCCAGCAGGGTGGACCCAACTGATGAAGAGAGATGGGTCTTGTTCCAGCCTAAAGAAGCAGTCTGGCCACAGTCTGCCACAGACACTATGCTGCACTTTGGAGAATTACTCCTGGGTCCAAACCTCCCAGACCCCCAAGTACCAGCAGGGAAAAATGGCAGACTGGAGCTGCAGTGATGGCTGCTGCCTCAGACCCTGTGAGCTCCATCGTCTTAGGCAGCAGGCACCCACAGTGATGGTGGCCACCCTTCCCCCTGGGAACTCTGGAGTCTTAGGCAGTCTCCAGCTGGGCAGCCACAGAGAATCTGCACAGCTTTGTGCTTGGGACCCAAGGCCCTTGTGGTGTGGGCTCACCAGGGGATCTCCTCATCTGTGAGTTACACAGACCTGTGGAAAAAGCGTGGTTTTCCAGGTGGGGTAGCACAATCACTCACTGCACATCTTTACCTATGTAACAAACCTACACATCCTGCACATATACCCTGAAACTTAAAATAAAATAAATAAAACAAAATAAAATAAAAATACTCCAGAGCATTCTGGGTTTTTTTTTTTAAACAACATCTACCCTCTGGAAAAACTATTTAACCAACACATAACTTCTGGGAGATTTTATCAGAGACTAACTGATCTGGGGGAAGGGAGATACCCAGCTCCAGCTGGCTCTAGCCCGCCCCATGGGACTGAGGGCTGGGACACATCAACACCCTGAAAACAAAATCACATGATCATATCAATATATGTACAAAGAGTATTTGACAATATCCAATACCTGTTTGTGATAAATACTCTCAACAAGCTACTAATGAGGGAAACTTCCTCAACTTGATAAAGAACACCTATGAAAACCTACAGCTAACATCCTCTTGATGAGAAACTAGAAGCTTTTCTGCCAACATCAGGAAAAAGACAAGGATGTTCCTTCTCACCACTGCTTTTCAACATCATACTGGAAGTCCTAACTTATGCAATAAGACAAAGAAAGGAAATAAAATATATTCAGATTGAGAAGAAAGTAATTAAATTGTTTTTGTGCATAGATGACATAACTGTCTATGTAGAAAATTTGAATAAGTCAGTAAAAAAAACTCCTGGGACTCATAACCTATTATAGTAACGTTGCAGGATACAAGGTTAACATGCAAAAGTCAATCACTCTTCTGCATACCAACCATGAAATGGAATTTGAGATTAAAACCCCATACCATTTACTTTAGCACCCCCAAAAATAAAATACTTAGGTATAAACCTAACAAAATAAGTACAAGATTTACAAACTTGGAATGAAGAAAACTGCAAAACTCTGATGAAATTAAATAGCTAAAGAAATTGAAAGATATTCCATGTCCATGCATAAGATGACCCAATATTGTCAAGATGTCAGTTCTTCTTAAGTTGATCTATAGATTCACAGCAATCTCAACTAAAATCTCAGCAAGTAATTTTGTGGATATTGACAAACTGATTCTAAAGTTTATATGAAGAGGCAAAACTTCCAAAATACCCAACCTAGTTTTGAAGAAGAAGAACAAAGATGGAGGACTGATACTATTCAACTTCAAAACTTACTATAAAGCTACAGAAATCAAGGTGGTATGGTATTGATAAAAGAACAAACAAACAGATAAATGGAGCTGAAAAGAGTCCAGAAACAGGCCTAAGTAAATATAGTCAACTGATCTTTGACAAAAAGACAAAGGCATTACAATAAACAAAAGATAGTCCTTTCAAAAAATAGTACTACAACTGGACAACTACATGTAAAAATCATTCTAGACACAGACATTACACCATTCACAAAAATTACCTCAAAATGAAACAGACTTAAATGTAAAATGCAAAACTATAACAATCCTAGAAGATAACATAGGAGAAAATCTAGTTAACCCTGCATTTGATGATGATATTTTAGATATAATGCCAAAGGCATGATCCATGAAATAAAACATTTGATAAGCTGTACTTCATTATAATTAAACATTTCTGCTCTGTGAAAGACACTGTCAAGAGAATGAAAAGACAAGCCACAGAACTGAAAGAAAATATTTTGCGAAAGATACATCTGACAGGCCAGGCGTGATGGATCACTCTTGTAATCCCAGTACTTTGGGAGGCCTAGGAGTTCAAGACCAGCCTGGGTAACATAGCAAGACTTCATCTCTATAAAATACATATATATCTGACAGAGGACTCTTATCCAAAATATACCAAAATCATTCAAATCTCAACAATAAGAAAACAAGCAACACCATTTAAAAGTAGGCCAAAGAGGATCCAGGTGTGGTGGCTCATGCCTATAATGCTAGCACTATGGGAGGCCAAGGTGGAAGGATCTCATGAGCCCAAGAATTCGAGTTCAGCCCGGGCAACATGGCAAAACCCAATCTCTATAAAAAACACACACAAAATTAGCCAGACATGGTGGCTCATGCCTGGGGTCCCAACTACCCAGGAGGCTGAGGTAGGAGAATCACTTGAGCCCAGGGAGCAGGGGTTGCAGTGAGCCATTGGGCCACTGAACTCCAGCCTAGGAGATGGAGTGAGACCATGTCTCAAAAAAAAAATGGGTCAAAGACTTTAACAGACATCTCATCAAACAAGATATACAGATAGCAAATAGGCGTATGAAGACATGCTCTACATCATATGTCATCAGCGAAATGGAAATCAAAACAATGAAGTAACACTACATGCCTATTAGAATGGCAAAAATCTAGAATACTGATACCACAAAATGCTGGTGAGGATGTGGACCAACAGGAACTCTCATTCATTGTTGGTGGGAATACAAAATGGAACAGCCATTTTGGAAGACAATTTGGTGATTTCTTACAAAAGTAAACATTCTCTTACTATGTAAATCATCAGTAGTACTCTTTGATATTTACCCAAAGGAGTTAAAAACTTATGTCCACACAAAAATCTGAGCAATTATGTTTATAGCAGATTTATTCACAATTGCCAAAGCTTGGAAGCCACTTAGATGGCCTTCAGTGGCTGAATGGATAAGTAAACCGTGGTGCATCCAGACAATGGAATATTATTCAGCACTAAAAAGAGCTGTCAACCCAGGAAAAGACATGGAGGAAGCTAAGTCCATATTACTAAGTGAAAGAAGCCAATCTGAAAATGCCACATACTGTGTGATTCCAACCTTATGACATTCTGAAAAAGGAAAATCTAAAAATCTATGGAGACAGAAAGATCAGTGGTTGTCAAGAATTGGAGGGAGAAAGGGATGAATAAGTGGGACACAGAGGATTTTAAGGGCAGCGAGACTACTCTGTACACTAGAATGATGGATACGTACCATTATATATTTGTTCAAAGGTATAGAATCTATAACAGCAAGAGTGAGCCCTACTGTAAACTATGGACTTTGGGTGATATTGATGTGTGAATGTAGGCCCATCAGTTGCAAGAAATGTACCACCCTGGTAAGGGACATTGATGTAGGGAGGGAAAAATCTTTTTCCTCTACCTGCCTAAGTTCTCACCTGGAGGCCTGCAAATTAGGCTGATAATAAAAATAAATAAATAAACAGATTAACAAGAGAAAAAAACAAGAGTTTATTAACACCTGCAGCATACATATAGGTGGGAGAAACTCAGTGGTGAGTAAAATTTCATCTTAACAAAAGAGTAATAACTTTGTAGAGAAATGACAACACAAAAGAAAAGGTTTTAGGCTTCCGAGGGAGACAAACTGTGGGAAAGTAAATCTATGGAAGGAAATTAATGGATGATAAGTGTTATTTCATAAAGCTTGTTTGTGTAGACTCCTTTTGTAGTCATGTCATCTCTGGTGATAAATTTGTTATTCCTTTCCTGGTACAGAAATTGTAGTTGGAGGGGGAACACCTTCAGAGGGAAATTTTTGTTCTATTTTCAGGCAAATAGGGGGAGGGCAAAGAGCTCACCCTGTATGTGCTTTTTCTTAATCATTTTCAGTTTGAAAAGATCTTTATGCCAGCTTGCCATATTTTGGTGCTTGTACTCTGAACCCCTTTGTTGATAATGTGGGAAATTATGCATGTTTGAGGGCAGAGCACATATGGGAAGTCACTGAAGCTTCCACTCAATTTTGCTGTGAACATAAAACTGCTATGAAAAAATAAAACCTATTTAAAAAAGCTAAAGAGTAAAAAATACAGTTTCTGGAAGTATAAAAACTGAATAAATGAATCTGAAGAAAAACCATTCTGAAAAGTATTATGATAATCAAAATATCACATTAATAAAGTATTATGATTTTTGTATTATATAAAATTATGACACCAAAAATATTTTGTAAGTTTATGTATCACCTTTACCCATATTACATTGTATAAATAATAAAGTATTTTAAAGAAAGAAACTTTATATTTTAGTAGTTTTAACTACACTTTTTTCTGACATTTTGAACACAGGTATCTACATTTTCATTTTGCATTGCAAATTATATAGCTGTCCTGGGCACATGTTTCCTTTCTACATGCTTCAGTGATGTCACTCACCACTTTTGTTTATCTGATTGACTTTGAGGAAGGAGGCCAAATAACCTATAGTGTCTCCAAAGTAACTGAGTTTAACTTTTTCCATTTTAACTCTAGGACTTTATTTGAGATTATCAGAAGACAAGTTTCCCACTGATCCCCCTAACGCCCATTGGACTATTTGAAGCAAATTTTTAATATTATATCATTTTATACATATACATGTTACCATGTATTTCTAAAATACAACATACTCAGTGTGCTATTAGTGTATTTAGTATGTTCATCCAAAAGCAAGACTGAACAAGAAAGTGATAAGCACTAGATAGATACAGCTTGATTTAAGTGTTGGTAAGCTGGAAGAGGATGGGGGATTAAGCAGCAGTGGCACAAACCTCTATTGAAAGTAACATGCCCTTCCCCAATAAGGATGCAAGTTATGGAATGAATAGGCCCAACCAACCACAGCCATATAGAATAAAAGGATTTGTAATGAAAGAAGCAGAAAAACCCTTTGTCTCTGAGCAGGAACATTCTCACATAAAACAAAGAAGTGCTGCTCTTTCTGTCGCAGAGCATTAGTTTTTCATAGATACTATTATAGGCATATTTCTAAGATAAGAAAATGCTTTAGCTTTCTGCTATTTATTAGGTGAAAAGCAAAGCCATGAATATCTTTTTGCACATAAATAATTCTGAATTTTTTAGATATTCTTAATAAAAATGAGTACTTGAATTTAAAGAGTCATACAATTTCATTAAGCGCCAGTTGATGGATGCCGCTTCTCCTACAGGGTTTTCTTTCCTTTTCTTTTCTGTTAGGAAGCCTCTTTACTCGTGCTAGGCTAAATAATAAAAATACAAGACTAAATTGCTTAATTTGAATTTCTGGGTTTTAGTGCTACCTATTCCATTTTGTTAGCAAGACATGTCTTCCCATTAGTAGAATTCATAGTAGAAATTGGTAAATTATTCATCTTGTTTTTCTGTTGTATTTAAAAAAAGGAGAGATCCTACAGGGCAGAGATTTTCAACAGATTACTGAGTTTCTGAATTGTTTGCAGAATTAAACAAGAGGAGTGTTTGAAAAGTAATACGTAAGTCAATATGTTAAAAAGAAATATTTTAGTTACTGATTACAGCTAGCTTCACGAGAACTCCTCCCAAAAGCAATTAGTCTTTGAATTGATTCCAAATGCCTTCATTTCCACTTAAAATTGCCAAAAACGAAAACAAAAAACAAAAACAATGCGCTGCCAGCTTTTCCAGCAGTGTTTAAACAATTAATTTGCAATATTGATCTGAATGCAAATGAAGTAGAAGACAAAGAGTGTCTGTTAGCTTCCATTTAATATGCATTTTTTTAAATGACACCATTTTAGGTGTCAAATAATCTTGACTCTATAATATTAAGGAAGGCCCTTTTAGCACTTTTGTTTTATTTTCTTTCTTTTTTAGTTTTTTTTTCTTCCTGGACTGCAGAAGTAGTTGTGTAAAAAATAAGCAATGCAGGCTGGGCGCGGTGGCTCACGCTGGCAATCCCTGCACTTTGGGAGGCCAAAGTGGGAGCAAATCATTTGAGGTCAGGATTTCTAGACCAGCCCGGCCAACATGGTGAAACCCCGTCTCTACTAAAAATACAAAAATTGGCTGAGCATCGTGGCAGGCACCTGTAGTCCCAGCTACTCAGGAGGCTGAGGCAGGAGAATTGCTTGAACTCAGGAGGCGGAGGTTACAGTGAGCCAAGATCTCGCCACTGCCCTCCAGCCTGGGCAACAGAGCAAGACTCCATCTCAAAAAAATAAAAAAATAAAAGCGATGCATATATTTTATTTAAAATATCTACCAAAATAATCCCATAGAGATTGTACCTTCTTAAAATACAGTCTTTATATTTGCCCTTTTCAATAAGATGATGCAAATATAGAACAGAAAAAGAGACTGAGGATGACATACCTCGGTCCAAAGGTATGTCCACAAAACAGAGCTTAAAATTAAAATGAATAATTTTTCACATAGCCTAAAAATATTCCATGGTTCAAGCTACAACTAGATATAGAATAAGAAATGTTTATTTTGAAATCCTGTTTTCCATATCCCCTATTAAAAAAACATTTATTATGGAAAATGTGTGATTTGTACAATGGTAGAGGGAACAGTATAATGAACTTCATGGACATAATGAACAGTATAATGAACTTCAGCAGTCATCACCATGTGAGCAATACCATTTCATCTATATTCCCCCCACTCATCACACCCCTATTGGACCACTTGAACCAAATTTTTGACATCATATAATTTCATACATGTACATTATAGTATGTATTTCATTTTCTTTTCTTTCTTTTTTTTAAACAGTACCAAGCACTGTTACCCAGGCTGGAGCGTAGTGGCATGGTCTCTGCTCCGTGCAACCTCCACCCCCCAGGTTCATGCGATTCTCCTGTCTCAGCCTCCTGAGTAGCCGGGACTACAGGCACGTGCCAACAAACTCGGCAATTTTTTTCACCCAGCTAATTTTTGTATTTTTAATAGAGACAGCATTTCGCCATGTTGGCCAGGCTGGTCTCGAACTCCTGGCCTCCACTGATCCACCTGCCTTGTCCTCCCAAGGCCACTGCATCCTGCCTAGTATGTATTTCTAAAAGACAAGAGCTCTTTTAAAAGTACGACCTCAACACAATTACAACACTTTAAAAAAAGATTCCTTATTGTCATATATCTAGTCAGTTTTTAAATTGCTCTAATTATTATCTCATAAATGTTTTCTAATGGTTGGTTTGTTCAAATTTGGATCTGAATATTTGTTTGAAAGGTCTCAAATCATTTTAAACTTAGAGTTCCTCCTGTATCTTTATTTTTCCTGCAATGCATCTGGGAATGAAATAGAGTCATTTGTTCTGCAGTTTCCCACATTCTGGATTTTGCTGGTTATATCCCCAGTTTTCAGGGATTTGGACTTTTGTTTCCATTTTTACTCTAAGCTGGTAGCTAGACCTAGAGGCTTGAACAGCTCATGTTTGCTTTCTTGGCACAAATACATCATAGATGGTTTTGTGTGCTTCCATCAGATGAGAATCTGGTTTTCCACTGAGTGGTGCTAACATTGATAAGCCCATTCCGGTGTTATCAGACTCATCCAACCCCATCAGCTTTGGGCCTAGTATTCGTATCAGCCTGTGATGATCATTGCAGTAGATCCATTATTTCAAGAGGAAATTGTAATTTTTTAAAGTATGTTTTTAAGAGTCAGGGTGAGGCCGGGCGTGGTAGCTCATGCCCATAATCCCAGCACTTTAGGAGGCCGAGGTGGGCAGATTACCAGGTCAGGAGATCGGGACCATCCTGGCTAACACAGTGAAACCCCGTCTCTACTAAAAATATAAAAAATTAGCTGGGCATGGTGGCGGGCGCCTGTAGTCCCAGCTACTCAGGAGGATGAGGCAGGAGAATGGCATGAACCCAAGAGGCGGAGCTTGCAGTGAGCCAAGATGGCACCATTGCACTCCAACCTGGGTGACAGAGAGAGACTCCATCTCAAAAAATAAATAAATAAAATAAAATAAAATAAAAAAATACCCTGACGTGGTGGCAGGCACCTGTAATCCCAGCTACTTGGGAGGCGAGGCAGGAGAATCGCTTGAACTCAAGAGGCAGAGGTTACAGTGAGCCGAGATTTCACCACCGCTCTCCAGCCTGGTGACAGAGCATGACTCTGTCTCAAAAACAAAACAAACAAAAAAAGGGTCAGGGTGAAAGTATGACAAGTAACAAAGCTGTCGTCTTCTTTCAAAGTTTGATCATCACGAGAGTCTTCTCTAGGCAGGTGGGCACATAGCATGGGCCAGGACACTATACAAAAGCTAGCCTTACTATCAGAGTGTATTAGGCCACCCTTGCATTGCTATTAAAAAATACCTGAGACTGGGTAATTTATAAGAAAAGAGGTTTAACTCACTCATGGTTCTGCAGGCTATACAGGAAGCACAGCACTGGCATCTGCCTCTGGGGAGGCTTCAGGAAGCTTACAATTATGATGGAAGGCAAAGGGAGAGCAGGCATGTCACACGGTGAAAGCAGGAGCGAGAGCACCAGAGAGAGAGTGTGTGTGGGTGTGGGGGCAGGGGGTGCCGCACACTTTCAAATGACCAGATCGCATTAGAGCTCACTATCATGAAGACAGCAGCAAGCCATGAGGGATCCATTCCCATGATTCAAACACCTCCCAATCAGGCCCCACATCCAACACTGGGGATTATAACTCAACATGAAATTTGGGTGGAGACAAATATCCAAGCTATATCACAGAGCACACAAGGATAAGCCAGACACAAGTCCCAAAGGGAAAACGCAGGAAAAGGCAACAGTCAAGGTTTCAGCATACACTGCACTATTTATACTTTAACATTTTACAAATGACATTTGTAGAGAAAAGAACAGGGGAAAAATGCTGAAGTATGCCCATCTTTCCTTCTTTCAGTGTGTTTCTCCACTGTGGCTTGAGATGAGAGGAATGAATCTCTCCCACTGACCCTCACCCTGATACTTGTTTGAAGACTTTCCACTACCAACTTTGGAGGGATGGAGAGATGGAGAGGAGACCAGGAAGGAGGAGCTGGGAAGAGTGTTTCAAACCAGTAGCTACTGGTACTGAAACCTATCCAATTGTTCCATAGAACTGATGTTTATTGTTTCTTTTTGATAAACATAGAAATTGACCCTCCCAGTTTTGAAACCTGAGAAAGTTATATTTGTCTTATCTGGGTTCCTTTCTCAGGAAAGCAACCACCGGGATTCCCAGATAGTATTAAGGAACTGAAACTTACCAGATCACCACATGTGGACAATGAGGTACCCCTCACCTGTCACAATTGCCTAAGCAACGACTTGCTTCCTATTGATCAACTCCTCTTCCTTAGTTCTCCTTAATTCTCTTGCCCTGCACATAGTTACATTTTTGTTCTATAAACCCCTTATTTTAGTTAGGGAGATGGATTTGAGACTGATCTCCCATCTCCTCTCCTCAGCTGTAGCACCCAAATAGAACCTTTTCCCTGACTATCTTCATTTTCTCAGTGATTGGCCTTCTATGCAGAGACAGCAGGACCCAGACCCAACCCCTGGTGTTTAGGTAACAAATTTTGATTCTCTAACTGAGACCACGTTGCTTGTGGCTCAGCTGAGTTGTGCTGAGAGTTTTGGAAGCCTTCCTAAGCAGCCTCCTGACCCTATTTTGGCTGAAGGTGGGTATTTCTCTGTCCTTATGGCCCCATCACTGCTGGCATCAACCACATTCCTGGTTGCCTAGGACAAGCAGCTTTTGAAATTTGACATCTGCGTCCAGATAGGTTAGTGTCCTTTATTGGCCCAGACAGCAGGATCTGCTCCTCTTAATACTGGAAATTTTAAAGGAATTTCTCTCTACATCTGGGACAAGCCCAACTGACTAAGAAAGAGAAGCACCCTGACTGTTTCAGTTTAGACATGCCAGGGAGCTTGTTTTCTGAGGCAGCAGTTACATTGTGTTTTGGTGATTGTTTCTGTGTGTGTTGATATAGTCATGGGAAATTAGAATTTAATAAGCTGTTACTCTTTTGTAATAATGTTTAGTTCCAATGTTCTTTGGAACCTGGAGTTTGCTGTTGAATGGGAAAGTGAGATGGAGTTCTGTGTATTCAGGCTTTTATTCTGCTGTTCTAAGCAGAATTGGGTCTGGTTAGTAGGTTCCAGGTGATGTTCTGTGGTGCTGTTTGGCCTCCAGTGTTCTCTGGAATCTGGGAAGGTTTGCCTTTACAAATAAAACTGCCATGGAAATTGCTTTACCCAAAATTTTGGTTCACAGCTTTCATTGGATTACCTATCAGGACAAAGTCTGGCCATCTGAAAATGTTCATAGACCAGAGAGTTTGTATTGCTGTCTCATGGCTAGAATTCTGAGGTAAAAGCTATTGGTTCTTTGTGTGTGTGTGTGTGTGTGTGTGTGTGTGTGTGTGTGTGTGTGTGTGTGTGTGTGTGTCTAGATGTTACATGTTGTTTTACACAGTACCAATATGGCTTATAAGTAAGAATGCTTATAAATAAATAAGTCCAAGCAATTTAAAAGTTCATGTGACTTAAGTAAATCTTTAATAAACAAGCTGGTTTAAAATTATTGGTAAAATAAAAATAGGAATATCTTCAGAATTGTCAGCATACATTTTTCCTGGGTTTATATTTGTGTCTGCTAGATATTTTGAGGTGTTAGGTTTTGACACAGAAGGTTATAAAACTATGAACCCAGCCAAAACATAATGATTTTGTTTGTGTGACTTTTTGGACAAATAAGACTAAATTATTATTGTTAGCTTAATAAAAACAGCTGAATCTTCTGAGTTATCATATTAGCAAAATACCTATATATTTAATTTTAAGGTTCTTATTTAGGTGAACATCTGATATTCACAGGCTATTAAAAATCATTAAGAAAGAAATAACTTGAAACAATGATTAGCTTTGTTTAATATTTTGGTTTTCAGAAGAAATCTAGATAAGCTGTTTAAAAATGAGAGAATTGAGTACATGTAAATGGGATAAATGCTGTTGGTGAACTCTCCGTGTAATTTAAATATGAAAGTTATTTTCGATTGAATAATAGGCGCTTGTAGGATGTCTGAGTCATTGCCAGTTAAGAAGGAGTTGTGATACAGGGGGAATATACCTCTAAAAACTGTGGAATGTTCTCGTCTATAAAATACTAATATCTGATAGTTCAAGATTTCTTGCTTCTTAGGTTTTCACTAAAATTTAAGGTTATTAAGAAAAAGAATTCTAGTTAATATATAATTCTGTATATAAAATGTGCCAAAGAAGATGTGTTTTCACTGCAAAAAAAGAATAATATCTTCTAATTCAGAAGTTGTCTAAAGGTTAACTCAAATTATGGAGTTGAAAAGGGATATTTATAGAAACAGAGTAGAAAGGAATCAGTACATAAGGGAGAGAGATGTGGAGAATGTTAGAAATATGAAGATATATTTACAGTAAGGAAAGTTGTAAAGAAAAGAGAATAATTTTTTACGAGAAATGAATTTGTATGGTGAATTTTAGTCCTAAAGTAAAATGAATGGTTATTAAAAAAAAAAAAAAAATTAGGACAAAGCAGAAAGTCCAAGCATATCATAGATGATCTATATAAGTCATACATAGTCTTTTTTCCTATTTCTCTGTGTGTCTATCTTCATGCATATGTAGAGAAAATAGAAAGTTGAAAAGATAGTAATATATTAGGCAGTAAAATATTCTTTAAAACTTCATAGAAAATTGGAAAAATTTGGTCAATTAAAACTGCTCATAAAGTTCTTAGTCTTGATGGCAGTAAGTTAAAAAATATTGTAAAGAAATACATTGGCAATTTGGCAACTCTTTTTAATATAGGTAAGCATGAAGCCAGACTTAGCATGGAGCTGAATTTCACGTAAGTGCTTGCATTGCTTCACACTATATTTGCGATTTTGCATAGATAGGACTACCACTAAAGTACTTACTGGTCACATACCTAAAGTGAATTCCCGAATTGCACAAAATATATAGTAGTATTGGTGGACTTAAAGACATTAATATGTATATCAGGAACGAAATATTCATCCTGTGCTTTTCAGGCTCTGGGTAACATTGTAGACTCCAAGGTGAATTGAGTAGGAGAAAAAATGGGGGTTGGTTTCCTGTTTATTTGTTTTTGCTTCTAATTTTCATTTATTTGCTGTTTGTTTTCCTTTGGGATATATATATATCCTTCCATTAGAAATAGAAATCCTTCCATTAGAAACTAAGAAACACGTATATATAAAATATTATATAACATATATAAAAACATATGTATGTTTTTTAGTTTCTAATGGAAGGATTTTTTATTTAGTTCTATGAATAGTCACTTTGTTTCCTATGCATTTCCAACAATTTATCATTTGCTTTATTTATCTAAAATTCCTAATCTGTCTTGCCAAACCTCCAAAAATTGATAGAGTTTCCCAGCTATTTAAAACTTAATTCATTTTGCTGGCCAGGCATGGTGGCTCACGCCTGTAATCCCAGCACTCTGGGTGGCCGAGGTGGGCAAATCACCTAAGGTCAGGAGTTCGAGACCAGTCTGGCCAACATGGCAAAACCCTGTCTCTACTGAAAATACAAAAATTAGCCAGGTGTGGTGGCATGCACCTGTAATCCAAGCAACTCGGGAGGCTGAGACAGAAGAATTGCTTCAACCTGGAAGATGAAGGTTGTGGTGAGCCGAGATCTCGCCACTGCATTCCAGCTTGGGAGACACAGCAAGAATCTGTCTCAAATAATAATAATAATAGTAATAATAATAATAATAATAAAATAAACTTAATTCATTTTGCTTATCTCTGATGATCTAGATAGCTACAAGAGCTTTAAGTTCCCCAACAAAAAATAATGAATAAATAAATAAAAATAAATAAATAAATAAAGACATTTTTAGAAGTTCTGAGCAGAAATAGGACTTTTGTTTTGAAATGGAGTCTTGCTCCATCACCCAGGCTGGAGTTCAGTGGTGCCATCTTAGCTCACTGCAACCTCTGCCTCTTGTGTTCAAGGGATTCTCATGCCTCAGCCTCCCCGAGTAGCTGGGATTACAGACCCCTGTCACCACACCCAGCTAGTTTTTGTATTTTTAGTAGCGATGGAGTTTCACCATGTTGGCCAGGCTGGTCTCAAACTCCTGACCTCAGGTAATCTGCCTGCCTCAGCCTCCCAAAGTGCTTGGATTACAGATGTGAGCCACCTCACCTGGCCAAAACAGTACACTTTTTGTTATTTGAAAAAGAAGGTGAGAGTACAAATGTTGAAATGGTGTTTATTTCCACAGTAATTCAATTCGATCAATAATTTGAGGTGGTTTCAGATGTTTTCCTTTAGGTAATGAGGGAAAACTGTGATATGGATACAAAGTTTTAATGTTCAGGAAAGACTGGCCTTGTCGTTAAGAAAATTATATTGATTGGGATTTCTCCTAAACTACTTTAGTTGTGTTTACCAATATTAACATTAAGTGATATTCATTTGGATTAAGTAGTAATTTTAAAAATGTGAGACTTTCTAGTGATTTTTGAACCCAAGCCATTTATCACTGATATGCCTTCATATGTATACTTAAAAACAATATATGTACAAGCATCACACTGGTTTGAAGATTCTAGTGGTAAAATTTACCTAATCAGTTGTCAGTACCTTATCTAGAAACCAATCTTGGAAAAGTGTTATGATACTCTTTTAAATAGCTGAAATGTCTCACACTTGTAATCCCAGCACTTTGGGATGCCAAGGCAGGCAGCCTGCTTGAGCTCAGGCATTCAAGACCAGCCTGGGCAACCTAGCGAAACTTTGTCTCTACAAATTAAAAATTTAAAAATTAGCCGGGCATGGTGGTGTGTGCCTGTAGTCCCAGCTACTCTGGAGGCTGAGGTGGGTGGATCACTTGAGCCTGTGAAGTTGAGGCTGCAGTGAGCCAAGATTTCATCATTGCACTCCAGCCTGGTTGTCAGAGTAAGACCCTGTCTCAAAAACATAAATACAGACATGGAAGAAAAGAAGTTGTGTAATGGTTCTACTTTGGCCCTATTTTGTTGTACAGAATTTCAGTGGAAGATTATTTATCCTCCTGCTGAGTTTCTAAAACTGATATTTATATTTACCATTTTTTTAATGATGGAGAGAGAAGATAGTTATCTTACTTTGTTTGGCATAGGACCTATCATATTTGTGATGCTTGTAGTCATAGTTCTGTCACTAGAATGCCAGCAATTAGACATACGAATATAGTAACCTAACTATTTTAATACAGTGTTTGAAGTGTTACAGGCAGTAACTGCTAAACACCTAATCACAGTGTTTTAACTTGTGACATATCAGAGAGAATTATAGGACTTTCTGCAGTATAAATGTCCTATTAACTAATTATTGTACTAAGTTATAGGGCTTTAACCCCTGGATCTAAAAAAGGCACTGACTCTTATTGCATTGACACCAGTCATCTTCAGACCTGTCAGAAGGTGGCAATCGAAATGAAATGCTTTTGTGAGACAAAGGGCCAGAAATTTAAACTATTCAATCCCTCTATGCTAAGACACTATTACAGAAGAAGTAGACATGTGAGAGATAGTAAGGGTTGATGTTGAAAGATAAGATTGTCACTGGGACGTATGGGGTCCTTAGTACTTGTCTTCTCGGAAGAAGGAATTCAGCCAAGGGACATGCAGCAAGGGCTAAGTAGTAGCAGAGTTTATATAAAGTGACAGTACACTCTGAAAGACAAGGCAGAACAAGCTGCTTGGGAGAATGAGCTAGCATTGGCTAAAACAGGGAAATCCCCTTTGTGGGGATCTTACATGATTATTCACTAAGAAGATGTAAAGGGGTGCCACTAGCAAACATATTTTTGGCAGCTCTCTGGGTGCACTTGTATTATGGCCGTACATGCTAGTACATATGTTGTGTGTCTCACTGTCATCTTCAATTTCCTCCCAGGGGTGTATTTTTTACTATTATAATGAGCAAAGTCTACTCTAGGGTGAGTTATTTGAGGAGTGTGCATGCTTGTCAGGGGTTAAAGATTCTGCTGGTTATCTCCGGCCAGGGCCTAATAAGTCCCAGTCAAGACCAGATAAGCCCAACCACAAGGCCAGATGCAGCCATTGTAGCCACTGTTTTTTGCTGAGTCTCGTTTAGAAGTATCTCCAAGGATGCCTTTCCCAGGGCTGCCTTTCATGCTCATGTCTATCTATCTGCCTACTCTAATGTTCCCCCCTCAAGCAATTGACACTCTGAAAATCTTTGGATATAAGGATGTGTAGGTCTTCTATAATTATTTCCTGCTGACATAAGATGAAGAATACATCAGAGTCTCACTGTCTTCCTGTCTTGGAAGGAGTTCCTCCATTGTTTCCTGAAACTTTTGCCCATTGGCATCCAAACCAAGGTGTGTGCATAGGTTTTGGGGCCTCCAGGTATAATTGATTGACATCCCTGCTGTAGTATCATTTGCAGACTGGTAGCCTGAATGTGGGAGAAAATTAATTTAGTTAATAAATTGATGAGGCAAGGACCTAAGAGGAGAAGGATCACAGTGGAGAGTGGGCCCACAGAGGAGGCCAGAATCAATTAAGGATGTTGCATGTCCCCAAAAATTGGCCTGTAGATGTTTACCTCTTTCTTGTAGCCATTGAATGCTGTCCTGTATGACTTCTGACTAGTTCACATAAAAGCAACATTCTTTTTTTACGTATAGCAGAGGTTCCTCCCTGAGCTGAGATGCTGATGTCTAAGGTGTGGTGGTTTTGGTGGACCATCCTCATGGGATAACATGGCATGCTCTTGTTGAGAGCTTAAAATTTCTGCAGCTCCTGTTACCACTTCACTTAATCTGGTTTCTAGCCCCAGAGCCATAAGTAAGGGGAGAAAAGCTATGGCTACTCTTGAGATGCAAACTTGGGAGGTAAGGGGGATAGGAACCGACTGGTTGGTTTAGGAAGGCCACATCACAGGAAAGACAAATCAGAGATAAACTTCCCCTCCAATTGTTAGGGAGGAATAGATATGCAACCACAAATAAAGTCTGACTCTTGCCAGCATAGCTAGGGGAAATGGCTAACTGCACGTGTCCCCAGGCTTTACTTAGAATTTAATGGCTCTATATCAGGCAAGTTGAACACTTATCAAAAGTCACAGAAGCAGTTTATGACTTTAAAGCATTTAGTAGACCTAATATCTTACCTGCATAATTTATACCAAATGTCTAAATTTTGAAGACATTCTCATTTTATGTTACAAATAATATTTAAAACTGTCTTTATTTGCCAAAGATTACTAAAGTCACATGAACTAAATGGCACTGAAGTTTCTATTTTCCTGAGAAAATATTTGATTTAATCACTTTTTCTTTAAGCTAATTAATTAGCATTTTTATATGTACATCACAGACACTATATGTGTGTCTGTATGCATATGTGTGTATATATATACACACATACATACATATAGACAGAAGAAGTTTCAGTCGTTGTGAGATTTTTATTTGCCAGTTTTTACATTTTTCTTTCCCATTTTGCAACTTACACAGACCATCCGTAACATGCTTGAACTTTCCAGCTTGTCCTAAACTTCCCTCTTTTCTAAGTATTTAGTCATTTTACTTTAGGACAAGAATTTACCATACAAGATCTTTCCTTATATAAAACTTATTTCATTTATAACCTTCTTTACCAAAAATGCATCTTCATATTCATAACTTTTTTATATCACTTTCCCCTACTTTGTGTTTTTTCTTTCTTTTTACCTTATTTTCATTTTCTTCTGTTCCCTATAAATAAGATTCCCAATATTGAGGCTATTTTATGTTAATGCAACATTATCTGTTTGATGTTTTGGATCTGAAAACTCTGAGATGAGAAAGGAGAAGGCATTTACTTATCTTTTTGTTTGAAGAGAAACTTCAGGTCCTCCAGTGGTTCACAAAAGTAACTGGGTGTTTGTTCTGTTTCTAGTTATTTGGAGCCTTTCTAGGTATTTATGTGGGAATGATGGATCCAACTATGGATATCAGAAATCTTAATTGTTGTTGGAGTGGAAAGTAACACAGTGAAAAGTCTTTTCCATAAAGGGATTTGTTGGGATTTAGGGGACCCATTTTTCAGATTTTAATAAGGACCTGAGCCAACTATGGCCAAATTTTAAAATATTTTTCCTAGTGTCTGAGGCAGTTTGGGTATTGCAGTTCCAACTGGGATCCTGATGAGGAATGCACATGGCCTCAGCAGGCCTACATGTAGGTCATCCCCACAGTGGAGTGCTGCCTCACTGATGGTTTGACTTTTTCTCATGAGAAGGCTTGTCCTAGCAGATATAAAAAACCTTTATTAATCTAAAGGTAAATGTCAATTTTGAAAGCCCTTTATGAGTCTCTTGGGGTCACCCAACAACTTTCCTAGGTTTTCCGTAACTTGGCAAAAGTCCTACCTGGTAAAGAGGACCTGGACCTGGGTTTATCTGGTTGGTTCACTTACCTCTTGTAATGGGCAGAGCCTGGAGGAAGAGCCAGGGGGTAGCTGTTTCTCCCTCTTTGGCCTCTGGAGGAGGAGGCTGAGGGGAGTGTGCATGAGAGTTTCCAAGTCTTCTCCATGGGCTCTGGATCAGGTGTCTAAGCATAGTTAAGACAGTGGCATCTACTTTACAAGCTTTACAAAGGTGAGGGTCTTCCCTTAAGACCATGAAGGTTTGTAAATATGGGACCTCTGACTATTTGTCCTGATGGTGGCAGAAAAGGTCCATCTGAAGGATAGTATTAAAATTTGTACTTCCATTCTTTGGCCAGGATTTTCATAGTTATGTAAAGGAAAATTAGTTTTATCTTTTTAGTTTTAGGGTTTGAAAGTCAAATTTATTTCAATTTTTAAGGGTACATTTGAGTGGGGGAAATCCTGGGGTATGGAGATCTGGATTCCTGGTGACCTGGTCTATTAAGAGTCCCATTCATCGTGCCACTGTTACCAAAACACCAGGAGTTTGGTTTAGGTCCTGCTACTCACCACACAGAAAGCCAACCACTGAGACAACAACAATTTCCAAGGAAGAAGGCTTTAATAACATGCTGCAGCCAAAACAGGAGATCAGTCTCAATTACATCTCCTTGATTAACTAAAATGAGGGGTTTATACAACAGGGAAGAAATGTAACAATGTTGGAAAACAGGAACTAGGGAGGGGTAAGGAAATAATCATGACCAATGAGGGGTGTGTCATCTCATATCTGGATGATTTTCAGATCTGGTGAGTTTCAGTTCTTTGATACTATTTTTGAGATGCAGGAAAGTCATTTCCTGAGGAAGGAACTCAGATAAATATAAATTTCAAGCTTTAAGATCAGAAAGGTCAATTTCTGTTTATCCAAAAAAAAAAAAAAATCTGTCTATGGGACTATCAAGTGGGTTTCACACCCACTAGAGCTTGCAGAGAAAGGACCTCAACAAAGTGCCCTTCGATGAGTCTACAAGTTCTGGCATTAGGAATCTCATGGTTCAGATGTGTCCTTGACATAACCCAAATGAAAGAGAGAAGGAAATCAGAAAGGTCCTACCTGAAAAAGAAGACAAGGGAATCACACTTGTTTTCTCATTCAACCTTTCATCCAGGGGGCCTGGATCCTGTAGAAAAATATTACTCATCTGAAAGAGAAGAAAAGGGAGTATTCCTTTTCTCTCAGGCTCACCAACCTGCACCCAGGCCTCCCTGGGGCCCACATGGACCAACTTCCCCTGGAGGGAGTGTTTATGGAGCAGCTCCCATCTCAAGGGAGTGCTCATTGCCCAAGCATCTGCAGCCCTTTGGGCTTTGGAAAATAGAAGGCTTCCTGAGCCATGTAGGACAAGTAGTAGGCCTGATTTTATGACAGGAATGTTTGTGTCTAACTGAATTGATTCCCATCTTTATTTTTCTTGTGGTGTGTGAGTGGCCTTACCCATTAGGTTTTTTAGGTCCCATAAAGGGATTCTGGCTGAAAATGTGTTTTACCCAGTAACTAAAGTCTTTCTCTGCACAGAGGAGACAAAACTCCATTTGCCCTGGATAAGTGCAGAGGAGTCCTGACATACACAACAGAAAGGACCTCTAAATCAACCTGGTGGATCAGAGATAAAAGGGCAGAATGGACAAAAGTCTCCAGATACAAGTGTGCCAGTAAAGTAAGAATATAACTGGGGTGTCCTGAGATCTGTGAAGGACAAAGGGCCTAAAGGGCAAGGGACCTGGAAAATACTTCCTGAATTTGGTTTACCATCCTGTTTTAAAATGAAGAAATAGATCAAATAACGAGTCTGTCCCATGTATGCCTTTGAGCCCCATATGTGCAAATATAAAAAGAAATTAAATCCCAACTCGAGGGGATCAGGTAAAGAACCAAAAGACAAGAGAAAGGACAATGCCTAACTTTATTACTGGGGAAAAATTAATGTAGAGTTCAAGGGAGGGCCCACTGACTTAGACTACATGGTGTGGACCTGGAAGCCCTCCCAACTCTGCTTGTCACCTGTCAGGGTGACCTGAGAAATCCAACGTAGGGAGCAAAGTCACAATGACTGAGAGAATTGTCCTGGAGATTTGCAAGTAAATGAGAGAGAAAAAAAAAAAAAAGGCTTGCCTTAAAACAGCAAGAATGGCATTAGGAGTAGGAGGTTTTTCTCTAATCTTTAGTAAAGCAAAGAAGCAGAGGTAGTCAACCAGGTAGTCTGGGACCACCATAGCACTTACCCTGCAGAACAGTTCACAGGTTAGGCAATCAGTCATGACACCAAAATATGTTTCCAGGAAGTGTGGAGTCCTTAGTTCTTATCTTCTCGGAAGATAGAATTCAGCCAAGAGACATGCAACAAAGCTTAAGTAGTAGCAGAATTTATTTCAAGTGACACTATGAAATAAAGGAACCTTCTCTGAAAGACAAGGCAGAGCAGGGTGCTTGAGAGAATGAGCCAACGTTGGCCAACATTGAGGAAGCCCCTCTGTTGGGGTCTTAAACATGATTATTCATGAAAAGAGTGTTACTACCAAGCATGTTTTGCATGGTCCCCTGGCACACATGTGTTATGGCCATACATGCTAGTACACATGTTGCATGTCTCAGTAGCATCTTAAATCTCCACCCATGGGTGTATTTTTTACTATTATAATGAGCAAAAGGCCACTCTAGGGTGAGTTATTTGAGTATTGTGCATTATTTTCAGGAGGTAAAGTCCCTACCATGCTTATCTGCAGCAAGGGCCTGCAGTCCCAGTCAGGGCTAGATAAGCCCAAGCACAAAGCCAGATGTAGCCTTTGGAGTCCTTGTATTTTGCAGACTCTCAGTGGGTTGCAACCCCAGAGATTCTTTTCCCAGAGCCTCCCTTTCACAGGGCTGCCTTTCCTGCTCATGTCTGTCTATCTGCCTACTCTAACAAGACTAGTGCAGAGTTTTTCTATAAATCAAACTTAATATCAAGAGCACACTGCTTCAAGGTCAGTATTTGGGCCCCTGTGTTGGAATAAGAGGATTTTCTTGCAGCAATGACCTGCTCTTTAATAGAAAATTGTAAAATATTTAAAAGGTTTTTGGAAATCTTACTTTGTGGTTGGCCAAACTGATCAAAATTAGATAGGATTTCTTATAAGGTGTCATTAAAATTAGCTTTACCCTTAATAATACACCATCCAAAAGTATAATTTGGCTTTCTCTTTTGAACAAAGCTTTTGTATATTAATGAGATAATAAAATATATTTGTTTATCTTTTGAACAAACTGCAGGGAAAAGATGGAGGGAGGAGACACAGATGTGGTTGGCCTCATGCTGTCTTTATTAAGTCTTAGTGTTTAGGAAACTAAGTCTTCTCTCTATCAAACAGTAAACATTTTTGTTTTATCACTTTGGCTAAATAAATGACTATTTTATAGTGATGTATTATCTATTTTTGTAATGTCAAGTGTCTTAACCCTTTCATATTTGACAAACTTTCCAAAAGCAAAATTTTAAGTTCCAAATTTGGTCTTTTTGACCTCAAACTAACATTTTTTGGATATTAGGTCCCCTTAAGTTCAAAAGAGACATATTAGGCTTATTTGGTATTTTAGAATTATACAGGTAACATTGTCAAATGTGAGATGGTATTTACCTTTTTGGGGGTTATATTTAGATAGATGTGTTGTTAACATGTGTTCCAAGATTGTATAATGTTCCAGAAATTCTGATATGTTTTAATATATATCAGTAATTATTATAATTATTATGGTAAATTGTTGCATGCCACAGAAATAACCAAATTTCCTTGGCAACTGTGTCTTTAACTATGGCTGCCATAAGACTTTTATCATCCACAATTGTTGTTTAGTGTTGATTCCTCTCAAAGAGTGACTTATAATCAGCTACAATCCAGGGCTTGCTTCTTTGGGGAAGCTCGTGAAAAGGACTTGAATGCAGATTTATGATTACTTTGGAGATTGTGCCATAAGATTAGAGAGAAAACTTTCAGTACTCTAATTAAAAGGCTGATGTGTTCACAAAGATGACTAACTCAATATGAAGGAGAGGAGGAGTTGATTGCTTGACTTGAAGTAATGAAAGATGGAAATGATTTTAATAGCTTTTTTTAGCTTGAAATATTACTACATTTTATTGTTTTGTTTTTCAGAGTCTAGAGAATTCTTTTCTTTTGAGGTATTGATAGCCTTTAACAATAGATTATACTCTGGTAAACAGAATTTAAGGCATGTTTCTCTCTGCCTAATTTCTCCAGAATTCATAAACTATTTGTAAATATTAATTCATGGCAATGTGTTTGTTTCCATAAGCTCAATAAGAACTTATTTTCTTTTATAATGAGACACAGTTGGAGGAATTCGTTATTTTTACAGGGCTTTGACTGAAATGGCCTTCCAAGAAGTTGTAGCAAAGTCAGTTTAGGAGAGCCAAGGTGGACAATGATTCTTGCTGCACTTTGTGTGTGAAATAGGGCCAGGTATATGAGACTGAAGCTCGTTTTGCAAGAAGGTTTGTCTGGATGTGATTTATCTTCGGTGGAAGTATAGGGCTGGAGAGAGAAAGGTTGTTTTTCAGAAGAAAACTATAGTATTGATTAATCTTTGATTGTTAGGTGGCCATGAGGTCACCCATGATATGGAGCTGCCCACAACACCCCTCCAGCATGAAGCAGGCAGAAAATCAATCCCCAGGATTGAGGAATAGATAAATAGAAAGAGAGGGACTGAAACTGGGCCAACTGTCCTATTGAACTGATGTTTATGGTTTATTTTGAATAAACATAGAAATTGACCCTCCCAGTCTTAAAATTCGAGAGAGTTGCAACTGTCTTATCTGAGTTCTTTTCTCAGGAAATCCACCATCAGGCCTCCCAGATAGTATCAAGGATCTGAAACTTACCAAATCTTTGCATCTGGACCACAAGGAACCAGACCCCTTATCCACTGATATGATTTGACTCTGTCCCCACCCAAATCTCATTTTGAATTCCCACATGTTGTGGGAGGCAGTCGGTGGGAGATAATTGAATCATGGAGGCAGGTTTTTCCCATGCTGTTCTCATGATAGTGAATACATCTTACAAAATCTGATGGTTCTATAAGGGAGAATTTCCCTGCACAAGCTCTCTGCCTGCTGCCATCCATGTAAAATATGACTTGCTGCTCCTTGCCTTCTGCCATGATTATGAGGCCTCCCCAGCCACGTGGAACTGTAAGTCCATTAAATCCTTTTTCCTGTATAAATTACCCAGTGTTGGGTATGTCTTTCTCAGCAGCATGAGAATGGACTAATACACCCACCATGATTGTCTAAATGACCACCTGTTTCCTGTTAACCAACTCCTCTTCTTCACCCCTCCCTGATACCTGTTTTCCTGCATGTAGTTACATTTCTGCTCTATAAACCTTTAATTTTAGTCTGCTAGAGAGATGGATTTGAGACTGATCTCCCATCTCCTTGGCTGCCAAATAAAACCTTCTTCTCTGGCAATCCTAGTTGTTTCAATCACTGGCTTTTTGTGCTATGAGCAGCAGGACCCAGACTGAACCCCTGGTGTTTTGTTAACAGTACCTTATGTTCAATTGGATGTTAGTCACCTTTAGTCATCTTTTTTTTAACCTGAACTATGTACAACCTAAAAAAACAGCCAAACTTGATAGCATCATGAAATGTTAATAATGAATGTGCATTATTAGAATCTGGCCTTCACTCATGGTTTTGCATGTCTGCTATATTGAAACTCATCTGTAGGAGCACATGTAGTGGAGTCTGGATAGGTATGTCAGTAAGGATTTTTCTTTTTTTCTTTTTTTCTTTTTTATACTTTGAATGTTTATTTTAGATTCGGGGGTACATGTGCAGGTTTGTTACATGGTTATATTGCATGTTACTGAGGTTTAGGATACAAATAATCCCAAAACCTAGGTAATGAGCATAGTATAAAATAGCATAAAGTAATAGTTGGATCATGTCTTCCTACTGTCTCTTTGCTACTTCGCCACTCTGCTACATGTTTTTCCTGCTGTCTAGCAGTTCCAATGTCTATCGTTGCCATCTTTACATTAAGGAGTACCCAAAGTTTATGTCCTACTTATTTTTATTTCTATAATTTTAACTTTTATTTTACATACAGAGGAAGTATGTGGAAGTTTGTTACATAAGTATCTTGTGTGATGATGAGATTTCGGGTATGGCTCCCATCTCCCAGATAGTAAACATGTACCCAGTAGGTAGTTTTTCTTTTGATGCCCCCTCCATATCTGACCCCTGTGTTAGGGCAGTGTTTGTCATTCCCATCTTTATGTTCATGAGTACCCAATGTTTATCTCCCACTTATAAGTGAGAACATGCAGTATTTTGTTTATGCTGCTACATAACTCACTTAGGATTAGGGCCTCAAGTTGCATCCATGATGCTACAAAGGACATAATTTCATTTTTACGGCTGCATAGTATTCATGGTGTATACATACCATATTTTCTTTATCCAATCCACCACTGACGGCCTAGGTTGATTCCATGTATTTTCTATTGTGAATAATGCTGCAATGAACATATAAGTGCATATGGCTTTTGGTCAAACAATTTTTTCTCTTTTGGATATATACCCAGTAATGGGATTGCTGGGTGGAATGATAGCTCTGTTTTAAGTCCTTTGAGAAATCTCCAAACTATTTTCCACAGTGGCTGAGCTAATTTGCATTCCCATCAGCAATGTATAGGTGTTCCCTTTTCTCTGCAGCCTCACCAGCATCTGTTATTATATGACTTTTTCACAATAGCCATTCTGACTGTGTGAGATGGTTCCTTACTGTGGTTTTGATTTGCCTTTCTCTGATAATTAGTGATCTCAAGCACTTTTTCATGTTTGTTGGCTGCTTGTATGTCTTCTTTTGAGTGTCTGTTCATGTCCTTTGCCCACTTTTTACTGGGGTTATTTGTTTTTTGCTTGTTAAATTGTCTTTTTTATAGATTTTAGATATTAGACCTTTTTCAGATGCATCGTTTGCAAATATTGTCTCCCATTCTGAAGGTTGTTTACTCTGTTTGTGGTTTATTTTGCTGCACAGAAGCTCTTTAGTTTAATTAGGTCCCAATTGTCAATTTTTGTTTTTGTTTCAATTGCTTTCAGAAACTTATTCTTTTTTCTTTCTTTTCTTTTTTTTTTTTTTTTTTTTGAGATGGAGTCTCGCTCTGTCACTCAGGCTGGAGTGCAGTGGCACAATCTCCGTTCACTGTAAGATCCACCCCTTGGGTTCATGCCATTCTCCTGTCTCAGCCTCCTGAGTAACTGGGACTACAGGCGCCCGCCACCCTGCCCGGCTAGGTCTTTTTGTATTTTTAGTAGAGATAGGGTTTCACCGTGTTTGCCAGGATGGTCTCAATCTCCTGACCTAGTGATCTGCCCTCCTTAGCCTCCCAAAGTGCTGGGATTACAGGCATGAGCCACCGTGCCTGGCCAGAAACTTATCATTCTTTCCCAAGGCCAATGTCCAGAATGGTGTTTTCTAGGTTTTCTTCTAGAATTCTTATAGTCAGAGGTCTTACATTTAAATATTTAACTCTCCTAGAGTTAATTTTTGTATATGGTCACAGGTAAGGGTCCATTTACATTCTTCTGCAAGTAACTAGCCAGCTATCCCAGCGCCATTGATTGACTAGGGAGTCCTTTCTCCATTGCTTATTTTTGTCAACTTTGTTGACGATCAGATGGCTCTAGGTGTGTAGTTTTATTTCTGGGTTTCCTATTCTGTTCCACTGGTCTGTGTATATGTTTTTGTACCAGAGCCATGCTGTTTTGGTTACTGTAGACTTACAGTATAGTTTGAAGTTGGGTAATGTGATGCCGCCAGCTTTGTTGCTTTTGCTTAGGATTGCTTTGGCTATTGAAGCACTTTTTGATTCCATATGAATTTTAGAATAGTTTTTTCTAATTCCGTGAATAATGGCATTGGTAGTTTGATAGGCATAGCATTGGATCTGTAGATTGCTTTAGGCTCTATGGCCATTTTAATGATATTTATTCTTCCAATCCTTGAGCATGGAATGCTTTTGCATTTGTATATGTATCTTTCAATGGTGTTTTGTAGTTCTCATTGTAGAGATCTTTCACCTCATTGGTTAGACATATTCCTAAGTTTTTTTTTGTATGTGTGGCTATTGTAAATGGGATTGCATTCTTGATTTGGCTCTCAGCTTGCACATTATTGGTGTATAGAAATGCTACTAATTTTTGTACATTGATTTTTTATTCTGAAACTTTCCTGAAATTGTTTACCAGTTCCAGGAGCCTTTTGGCAGACTCTTTAGGGTTTTCCAGGTATAGAATCATATCATCCACGAAGAGAGAGAGTTTGATTTCTTATTTTCCTATTTGGTTGCCTTTCATTTCTCTGTTTTGTCTGATTGCTCTGGCTAAAACTTCCCATAGTATGTTGAATAGGAGTGGTGAGAGTAGGCATCCTTGTCTTGTTCCATTTCTCAAAGGAAATGCTTTCAACTTTCATCCATTTAGTATGATGTTGGTTGTGGCTTTGTCATAGATGTCTCATGTATTTTTAGGTATGTTCCTTTGATGCCTAGTTTGTTGAGGGTTTTTATCATGAAAGAATGTTGAATTTTATCAAAAGTTTTTCTGTGTCTATTGAGATTATTATATGGATTTTGTTTTTAATTGTTTTTGTGGTGAATGACATTTATTGATTTGTGTACGTTGAACCAACCTTGCATCCCAGGAATGAAGCCTACTTGATTATGGTGAATTAACTTGTTGATGTTCTGCTATATTTTTTTGGTAGCATTTTATTTAGAATTTTTGTGTCTAAACTCATAAGAATATTAAATAGGCCTGTTGTTTTAATTTTTGTTGTCTTTGCCAGGTCCTGGTATCAGGGTGATGGTGTCTTCACAGTATGAGTTAGGCAGGAGTTCCTTCTCCTTGAGTTTTTGGAATAGTTTCTGTAGAATTGGCAGCAGCTCTTCTTTTTATGTCTGGTAGAATTTGGCTATAAATCCTCCTGGTCTGGGGCTTGTGTTTTTTTGGGGGGGGAGTGGTTTTATGGTTTGTAAGTTTTTTTTATTACTGATTCAATTTTAGAACTCAAAATTAGTCTATTTAGAGTTTCAATTTTTTCCTGATTCAATCTTGAAATTTGGGTGTTTCCAGGAATTCATTCGTTCATTTCCTTTAGATTTTCTGGTTTATGGATATGAGGTGTTCATCATAGTTTCCGAGGATCATTTTGTCTTTCTGGGAAATCAGTTGCAATGTCACCTTTGTCACTTCTGATTGTGTTTATTCAGTTCTTCTCTCATTTTCCTTTTTTAGCCTTGCTAGTGGTCTATTGTGTGTTTTTGATACAACTTCTTGGCATTGACTTCTATTTTTATTCTACTGTCATCCACAGGTATGGGTGGTACGATTTTGATTTTTCTGAATTTATTGAGACTTGCTTTATGGCTGAGCATGTGGTTGATCTTGGAGTATGTTACGTGTGCAGATAAGAGGAACATGTACTCTGTAGTGTATTCCGTAGATGTCCACTAGGTCCAATTCATCAACTGTCAACTTTAAGTCCAGAATTTCTTTGTTAGTTTTCTTTCTCAATGATCTAATGTTGTCAGTGGGATCTTGAAGTCTCTCTCTATTTTTGTGTGGCTAATTGTTTTTGTAGGTCTAGAACTAAGTGAGGGTTTTTCTTAACTCCTTTCCAGCTAATTAAGGAGAGGAACAAGTCCCCATAGGCCTCCATCTCAGTCAGGTGTGTTAAATATGGGCCTTAGATGTCAATAGACCACACATTCAGGGACTCCTTGGCCCTCTCCACAGTGTGCATGAATGAAAATTTCCTCCTTCAAAGGTCATTAAGTTAGTGTGTGTGGAATTTTTTCTATAGATTCTTTAATGCAGCATGGACAAATTAGCAAAGTATTTCAGCTAAGGTAATAGTAAGATTTAGCTTTTCTGTGGTGGCTTTCATCAAAAAAATTATTTGCAGACATTAACTAATCCATCTGGCAATCCTTGGAGGCCAGTTAGACTATTTATTTTGTTCTTTCAGAGTTTAGAAAAAGAAGGCTTCTGTCTCATGGTTTTGTGGCCTGTTCTCTCTCTTCTTGGTCTTTTTACACACTGGACGGGAGAAGGGAATCAGCTCTTAAAAGCCAGATTCTTCTGCTAGTAAGTAAAATCTTGAACTAGGAACAACTGACAGTTTTCTTCATGATGACTAGTTACTGAGGACAGGATCTTAAGCAGCAAGCTGTGGTCCCCAACCTTTTTGGCACCAGGGACTGGTTTTGTGGAAGACAGTTTTTCCAAGGATAAAGGAGGAGGTGGTTTGGGGATGAAACTGTTCCACCTCAGATCATTAGGCATTAGATTCTCATAAGGAGCATGCAACCTAGATCCCTCATATGTGAAGTTCACATTAGGAGTCACACTACTATGAGAATCCAATGCCACCACTGATCTGACAGGAGGCAAAGCTCCGCCAAAATTGTCACTCATCAACCACTCACCTCCTGCTGTGTGGCCCCATTCTTAACAGGCCACAGACCGATAAAAGTCCATGGCCTGGGGGTTTGGGACCCCTGATAATAAGGTTTCAAACTCTGAGACAATAAATAGTAAACTTTTATGAAAATAGAAGTCTTTCTTTAAGAGTATATTTTTTCTATAATAAAAAAGAACAACATAGGCCAGGCATGGTGGCTCACGCCTGTAATCCTAGCACTTTGAGAGGCCAAGGCAGGTGGATCACCTAAGGTCAGGAGTTCGAGACCAGCCTGGCCAACATGGTGAAATCCTGTCTCTACTAAAAATACAAACATTAATTAGCTGAGCATGGTGGCCCATGCCTGTAATCCCAGCTACTAGAGGACTGAGGCAGGAGGATCGCTTGAACCCAGGAGGCAGAGGTTGCAGTGAGTTGAGATCATGCCACTGCACTCCAGCCTGGGCAAGAGAGCGAGACTCCATCTCAAAAAAAGAGAAAAAAAGAACAACAAATGAGATACATGCAAAAGCACCTATGTAATATTGCATCTCTGTTGATCTAGAATGTTTTCCAAGTAATATATGGACTATATTGGTAAGAATTTCTTTGAAGTGATCTTATAACCCCAGCTACATCCTTAATTTTTGAAAGAGTGCATAAGGGCCTGGTGCAGTGGCTCACACCTGAAATCCTAGCACTTTGGGAGGCTGAGGCAGATGGATCAAGAGGTCAGGAGATCAAGACCATCCTGCCTAACATGGCAAAACCCCATCTCTACTAAAAATACAAAAAATAAGCCAGGCGTGGTGGCATGTGCCTGTAGTCCCCAGCTACTCAGGAGGCTGAGGCAGGAGAATTGCTTGAACCCAGGAGGCGGAGGTTGCAGTGAGCAAGATCGTGCCACTGCACTCCAGCCTAGGTGGCAGAGCAAGACTCCTTATCAAAAAAAAAAAAAATAGTACATAAGAACAGTTTGTTATTAGAAAAACTCATTCTTATTGAATTAGCAAGCATATACATGTAGATATACATAGAATTCAGAGAAGGGTGCAAAATATTTCTTTTATTTTGTCCTTGTGTTGAGTCTCAGTTTTACTTAATTCATCTTGATTAATAATCAGGGGAAATCTGTCCTCTATAGTCTCACTCTTCCTTCCTATCACATTCACTCGATACGGATTGAGTGCCTGTAATAGGCTACATACTTTCTCAGTTGATAGGACTTAAACAGTACACAAAAGAAAGGGTCTGCCCTTATGGTGTTCATAGTCTAAATAATAAATGACTATAAATATTTGTGTATATATTCATATTCAGTACATATATAATAAATGTATTTATTCATGTAAATATTTATTTATTTACATACATATTTGTATTCTGTAATGAATATGTCTGATGTTGATAAGTGCTATGAAGAAGTCAGGGAATGCCTCAAAAATAAGGTGACATTTGAGTGGAGATGTGAAGGAATGAGCCATGTGAGTATTTGGTAAAGGACATTCCAGAAAGGAAAAGCCAGGCCTTGAGGCAGGAAAGAGCTGGAATGTTCGCAGAGCAGAAAAAGCGGCTGCAATGGCTGGAACAGAGTGAGATGTTGTAGAACCGTATAAGATAAGGTCAGAGCCGGGCACAGTGGCTCACGCCTGTAATCACAGCAGTTTGAGAGGCCGAGGTGGGCGGATCACGAGGTCAGGAGATCAAGACCATTCCGGCTAACACAGCAAAACCCCGTCTCTACTAAAAATACAAAAAATTAGCCGAGCGTGGTGGCACGGCACACGCCTGTAGTCCCAGCTACGTGGGAGGCTGAGGCAGGAGAATTGCTTAAATCCGGGAGGCGGAGGTTGCAGTGAGCCAAGATCGCACCACTGCACTCCAGCCTGGGTGACAGAGTGAGACTTCATCTAAAAAAAAAAAAAAAAAAGATAAGGTCAGAGAGATGGGGGAGTGTATGAGTGAGGGGTGTGTGTCTCTGCATGCACACAGGCATGCAGGGCCAAGCCTCCATCTCTTTAAACTTCACTTACTCTTCCCTCTCCTGCTATGCCTCCTTTCCTACTAGACCCTTGGCTTTGTTGACAGTTGGTGGTTTTGTCCAGATATTTTTTCTTGATGGGGCCAGGCCATAGAGGGTGTGGGAAAAGACTGGGGAGAAAGAATTCGGGGTTTTTTAACTGCTCTCTGTATGTTTTCAGGGAGTGGGGATGGGAAATGAAAAAAAAAAAAAAGGCTTTGAGTTAATAAAGAGCCTGCAAGACATACAAATCTTTCCTTTGATAAAATCAAACAATTCTTCATGCCTAACTTTGGTGCAATTTTTTTTTTTTTTTTGAGATGGAGCCTCACTTTGTCACCAGGCTGCAGTGCAGTGGCACAATCTTGGTTCACTGCAACCTCCACCTCCCAGGTTCAAGCGATTCTCCTGCCTCAGTCTCCTGAGTAGCTGGGATTTCAGGCACGCACCACCACGCCCAGCTAATTTTTGTATTTTAGTAGAGACAGGGTTTCACCATGTTGGGCAGAATGGTCTCTATCTTTTGACCTTGTGATCCACCTGCTCGGCCTTATTTTTATGCTTGCAATCTTTGTCTAATTTATGTTTAGTTTTAGTATTTATTTAATTTTTACTAATATTTAAATAATCTATGTTTTATAAAGCTACAGAGTAATACATACAAAACAATTAACAATTAACATAAAATAGCATGTACATTATCTTTCTTTCCCAAAACCCTACCTTCCATGGGCCAGTAAGGAACATTTGTCTCATACATTTTTACACTTACTGAAAACAAACACAATTTCTATAGGTTTGAGAAGCAAATTAGACATTGTTCTGGTTGCAGAATATTTTGGGCTTTTTAAACATCACGTTGGAGGATTAATATAGGTAAATGATGCAAGCATAGATTTTTGAATTTGCCAGAATTTTGTACAGAGTTGAGAAGAGTCAGTATTTAGAATTCAAGATTTTGTTACTTAATATAAATAATTACAAGACAAAGTTAGAAATTGATTCTGATTTTTTATTTTTCATAAGAAACTGGCTTGAGTGGTAGTTTGTTATTTGCCAGAAAAAAAATCTGTGCCAATTATTTGTGAGACTATGACTACTATAGAATTTGATACATTCTATGCCTCTCCATCATCTACTACTATTCACACCCCGGATACACTGGGGCTGGATTTAATCTTACGTGATGTAGAGGTTCATTTAGAAACTCAATATTGAACTAAATCCTTTGTAAATAATGAATTTTAAAATGAACTAATTTGTTCTCAACACTTGAGATTAGGGTAATCACTCTGTCAGAATGTATGTACAGTAGAGATAAAAGGCATTTAAGCAGTGAAAGCTGATAATTCTATTTTCTTCTATGAACCATTAATGTTTATGCCCCAGGAGGACTGTAGTATGAACATCCACTTGAGGTTTCCTTTATGACTCTTGCAGATTCAAGCTGGACTGTGCATGTTGGCTTACAATAAAGAGTGACATAAATCAGGAAAA
The DNA here is from genome assembly GCF_000001405.40 of Homo sapiens. NCBI lineage: Eukaryota > Metazoa > Chordata > Mammalia > Primates > Hominidae > Homo > Homo sapiens. The sequence continues at coordinate 30,411,788 of NC_000012.12, forward strand.
TCACCAGTCAAATTTTGATTATTTAAGAGAATTAATGCCATTGGTTCTATTTTTTATAGCATAGTTCTCTATTTCCCATGTCCTCTAACTTAGCTTCCCAGCACAGGAATAAAAATTACTGAATTTTATTAATCGGTAGTGTATTTGGTAGTGGATTTTCATTACATTTTCACAGGGTGTCTTGAGATTTAATATTATTTTTATTATTATTTTACAACTGTGAGACATGCTCGTAAATGGAGAAACTTGGGTGGGGTTAAGAGTGAGAGAGAAAACTGACTGGCTTAGTAATGACCACGACAAGATGTCCTTTGTGCATGGATGCAAAGCAGTGAAGCAGCCCCAGGCAGGGTGACTTGGAGGCTTTTTCTTTTCCTATTGGAGGTGACTGTCTGTTCCAATTCATCCATCTATCTATTCATCTTTTCTTACATCAGTCCCTCAAACAACACAAATTATGAGTTGAGGCTCTGGCACCTGGAAAACAAGCCTAGTTCTCATGTCCCCCTGGGGACAAATCTGCAGCCTGACCAATGGGAGTATCACCAATGAAGGTGACAATTTGGTAAAAATGGAGGGATGGGGTAGGGTGGGGCTAGTGCATCTCCTCACTTAAGCAGGGGCGCATCGTCTCAGGGATCTCCATTCATACCTGTTCTCAGCCTTGTTATGATTTGTCATCATGCCAGTCCATGTCACACCCCCCATCAACCTACTCACAAAAAGAGCACACAGATAGCTGTTAGAAAAACAGAGATTGTCAAACAAGCATCTCTCTCTTACACTTACATTTGAACAAGAAAGTAAAAATAGAATGTGAGCTATTATGTATTGTGTGTAACAGAGTACCACAAACTTAGCAGGTTAAAACAACACGCAATTACTATCTCACAGTTTCTGTGGGTTAGGAGTCCAGGCATAGCTTAGCTGGGTCCTCTGTGAGGCTACAATCAAGGTGTTGGTCAGGGCTGTTCTCATCTGAAGGCCCAATTTGGGATGGGTCCATTTCTGCATTCCTTCAGTTCTTGGCAGAATTCATCTCCTCGCAGCTGTAAGATGGAGGTCCCTGACTTCTTGCTGGCTGTCAGCTGGGGTAACACTCAGCACCTAGAAGCCGCCCACAGTTCTTTACCACATGGCTCTCTCCATAGGCCATCCCACAGCATGGCAGCTGACTTCTTCAAAGCCTGTAAGGAGAAGTGGGGATGGTTAATGGGTATGAAAGAATAGTTAAAAAGAATGAATAAGACCTACTGTTTGAGAACACAATAAGGTGATTATGGTCAATAATAATTTAATTGTACATTTTAAGATAAAGAGTGTAACTGGGGGCTGGGTGCGGTGGCTCACGCCTGTAATCCCAGCACTTTGGGAGGCCGAGGCGGGCAGATCATGAGGTCAGCAGATCGAGACCATCCTAGCTAACATGGTGAAACCTCGTCTCTACTAAAAATACAAAAAATTAGCCGGGCATGGTGGCAGGCGCCTGTAGTCCCAGCTACTCAGGAGGCTGAGGCAGGAGAATGGCGTGAACCCGGGAGGCGGAACTTGCAGTGAGCCGAGATCGCACCACTGCACTCCAACCTGGGCAACAGAGCAAGACAGTGTCTCAAAAAAAAAAAAAAAAAAGAGTATAACTGGATTGTTTGTAATTCAAAGGATAAATGTTTGAGGGGATGGATACCCCATTCTCCATGATGTGCTTATTTCACATTGCATGCCTGTATCAAAACATCTCACATACCCCATAAATATATACATCTTCTATGTGCCCACAAAAAAAGAAGCCTGTAAGAGGGAGCATCTCCACTATCAGCCTACTAGCACATGAAAATTTAAATAATGTACCATAATCACAGACATGATAACCCCTCACCTTTGCTATAGACTAAAGGCTACAAGTCCAGTTCCTCTTCATCACTTAAGGGGAGGGGATTGCACAAACACACAAACAACAGGAGGCAGGGATCATGGCAGCCACCTTAGTCTGTCTGCTTAAAATTTACTGTAAAATTTTTTTTGCTTATTATATCTCATCTTCTTCCCCAAAAAGATGTGGAGTAGATTATGGATAAGACAGACCCTTGCACTGTCATAGATATGTACAGTAAACTGAGCAGTAATTTTTGTTGCAAATAGATCACTCTGGAATACTTTGGCCAATTCCAGAAAAAGTAATCATGAAATTTAGTGGAATAAGCATCATGTTTTAATATACCAAATGGAAAATAAAGTGGGACTTAGGCAATTAAGATCACATTGAGTAGTGAATGGCTCTATGCCAATGCTAATCATTTTTTTTTCCTAGACCACATTTCACTTTTCATTTCCTACTCACCAAAAACCATGTTCTCCATCCCCTTCATGACTTCATGACAGGAAAATCCCCTTCATTCTACCATTACTGCCCATACCAGCATGGGTTTGGCATCAAGACCACACAGTCACTCATAGAACAGACACTGATCATATATTGCCATGGGCCATCTATCCATGACTACCACTGCCCTGGGCATTGCCATTGTCACTCTGTCCAACCCGGGCTTTGGTGAGACCACTGTCTCAGTCTTAGCCAGCCCAGTTGATTCAACCTCTTCTCACTATTTTAACTGGTTCCTCCACATGCTACCTATTTACCTATGGTGGCAACTTTCTGCTACTTGCTTATATCAGTTTTCCAGTTCAGTAACCTTGACTAACTTTGGTATTCAGGCCATGCTCCAAAGCTGAGATTTTTTGTATATGTCATTTCAATACAGTTTGTAAATGGGCTTACTGATACATTTCAGACTGTGTTGGAAAATACAGAATTTAGATTTACCTGAAATTGGATGTTTAAAGATCCATTGCTATTGCTAATGCTTTATCCCAGGTATTTTTATAACCCAGCTACTTTTATGTCATTGTTTTGCTATATGTCAGCAAATTATGACTCATGTTCTATCACTGTAATTTCATTTGGTAATCTCAGTTTAAATTCATGACCACCTACATTAAGTGGACCCTTGATATTGCCATGCTATTCTGCTCATTCTCTAGTCAATTTACTCTCTCATTTCATAGACAACTATTTCTCACACCTTCTTCACTCATCTCAAACACTTCCTTCCCTATTATTCTCAGTGGATGGCTGGGTTTTCTATTTCACTGAGAATATAGAAAACATTAGAATAAATCAGCCACAAATTCTCACCACATCTCCCAAATTACCTTGTGCCTCTAACCCTGGACTCTGCCTTCCTTCCATTTGCTGTGGATAAACTGTCTGTGCTAGACCCACCTCCTCTTATCTACTCAAAAATATTACTCCAGCAATGGCCATTCTTTCTCCTGCATCATCCATTTTTCCCACTCTATTGAATCATCTCCACTGGCATATAGCCAAACTGTAATATCTTTCATCTTTAAACATCTCCCCTTGTTCCCACATCTGCCAAAAGCCACTATCTTATATCTATGCTCGCCTCTCTTACAAAATGCTTCAAAATACATGTCTGTACTCATTGCGCCCATACCTTTCCTCTGATCTCTCTTGATCTCTGTCCAGTTAGGCTTCTAATCCCATCACTTCTACCCATCAAAGTTCTTGTCAAAGGTTCTAGTGACCACTTCATTTTCTAACCCACTGATCGATTTTAAGTCTCCATCTTCTTTTGCCTGAGTGATATTTGACAGAGGTGACTCCTACTTACCTCGTTCACTTGGCTGCAGTCAATCTTGGTTCTCCTCTCACCTCACTCGCCCCTCCAACTTCCTTTGCTGGTCCCTCTTCATTTTTCTTTCCTCTAAATGTTGGAGTACCCTAAAATCTCATCCTTAAAATTCTTCCTTCCCTATCTCACTGTCTTGATTATGTCTCTTGGCATTAAATACAGTCACCTGGCTTTAATATCATCTATATACTTACAAGTAAAAAAATTCAGTCTCTGGCTTGAACTTCTTGAACTGCACACTCATATTTCCAGACAACTTTCTGACATCTCTGAATGGATGTCTAAAGAGCATCTCAAACTCAACATATCCAGAACAAACATTTTGGTTCCTACCACCATCGAACATTCTGAAACATCTTGAAAACTCAGTAAATAGCAAGCTCGTTATTTTAGTTCCTCAGGCTAAAAACCTTGCCATCATCTTAAGTCCTGTTCCCCTTACGTCCCACAACTATCCAATAGCAAATTCTGCTGACTTTTACTTTTAAAATATGTCCAGAATACATCCAGCTCTGAACACTTCTCTCCACTTCCCACAATCCAGTCCAGGTCTATGTCATCATGAAAGCTTCCTAATGGCTCTCCCTCCTTCTACCCTAGCCTCCTTGTAACCTATAGCCACACACAGTCAGAACTGTTTTTTCTTTGTTTGTTTGTTTTTTGCCGTGTAAGCCAAAGAATGTCACTCTTCTGCTCAAGACTTTCAGAAGGCTTCACCTCATTCTGAATAAAAGCTAAGTCCTTCCAGAGCCTAAGCCTCTCGTTTCCTACCCCTCTTTCCCTTTCTCACTATGTTCCAGCCTGTTTTGAAACACTCTTCCCCCAGATAGCTACCAACTTGCTCTCTCACTTCCAACAAATCTCTCTTAAATTTCACCTTAGCACAGGTACCTCCCTAGGCCAACCTATATACAATGGCACTCCCCATCCCCCACCATCTTTCTTAACCTGCCCCCTTTTTCTTTATATCATTAATTGCCACCTGACTCATTTTGTTTATGTGTATATTTCTGCCTCCTTCAACTACAATATAAGCTCCACAAGGACAGACCTTTGTTGTATTCAGCACTGTAAATCCAGTGCCTGGAAGAAATAGTAACATGTACAGCAGTAGCCATTCAATGAATATTTGAAGAATGAAAGAATTCAGTAACACATTACATTTGAAAGAATATTCCATTCATCAACAATGACAAAAAAAATAAATATCAGTTGTGCCAGCCACCTAAAGGAAAAGTAGAATTTAAATGAATCATCACTACAATGTTTCTGACGCTCTAGACAAGAATAGGAAACAAGCAAAGACATGAAATTGGAAATATTTGTGACATGTTTGAGTAAAATTAGGAAGCCAATTTCTTTACTCACAGGCTTCGCATATGGAAGCGAAAGATTACAGAGTTGGAAAGGTGGGGGCCATATGTGAAAGGCTAAGAAGCTGGGATTTGATTTCTCATCTCATAGGTTCTATTAGGAAACAAAGAGGATCCTCCTTCTTGGTCCCATCACATCCATTGCACATCTTAGTCTTTGCACTTCCCATTTATCATGTTAGATGTAACAATAATCGAAGGTCACATATGTGTGTAAACTTAAAGGATGTCTGACTCCACCAGAATGTGGAGTCAGACATCCCTTTTTTTCCCCTAGCATGGGAACTATGCCTTGTCTACAGTTTTCTTTGTTTTACACCCTTGCCTGGCATAGTAACAACACTTGAGTTGATAATCAGTATATAAGCCCCAACTATACATATTCATTTAGTTAGCTGAATGAGTGCACAGCTGGATGAATGAATTAAGACATTCACTAAGTGTTTGTTCATTTGAACTGAAAGCAGCTGAAAGTCCTTTACATGCAGAATACCTTTTTGATTTAAAATACATTAAATATACACACATATAAAGCAATAATAAAATGGAGATACTTTTCAAATCAACAATAATACAACTCACAGGCCATCTTAGCACGTAAGTGTAGAACAGCTCTGTGAGAATTCATCTTCAGCTCAGTCCAGGATGTCTTGGTAATTTACAGGACTCATTCTCCTTATGTTTGCATGAACCATAATGAAATTTGCCACCAAATGTCTTTGGATGTTTTTAATGAGAAAAAATGGTTGTGTTGGTAATGGCCCAGCTGTTTTCTTGCCTGGCACTGTGCCTTGCCTACAATAGGTACTCAGTAATAGTCAGTGGAATGAAGTGAGAGAGGGAAGGAATAAGTGAGGTCATGAATTTGCCTGCCTGTGTCTCAACCTTCCTGTATCTCAGCAGAGAATTCTATGCGGGAGGGGCTGTGATGATGGAAGCAATCCATCCTCCCTGAGGATTTAGCTTTTTGCTGCTCAGAGATGAGTTAACACTGACTAATTACCCAGCTGAGTGGTGACTGTGACTCATAAGTGAGGGGCAGATGGAATTTAGAAAGCAGAAAAACCAGGAGGGGAAAGTTTTCAAGGGTTAAGCTGAGGGTGAGGAGTCAGGTGGGCATGCGAGAAAGACAGAAACCCAGCTGTGGACCTGTGAGCCGGGGGCTAGGCCATCCCTTACACAGTGCCAAGTAGTACACAGACGCAGAGCTTAGGAAAGTGTCAGCGAATGTTTCCACAAGTGTTCCTTAGTCACCTCAAGTCTTCTGGACACATTCATCATCTTCCCTCCCATAGATGGCCCATCACTGTTCTCTGCAGAGTGATTCATTGTCAGGGTGAAAATCTTAGGAAATTGTCTTCACACAAAAAATCTGCTCCCTAGCTCAAAACATTCAGTAACTCCTCCACCCCAGGAGACACATTTTTTTTCTCCTATCCATAGTCTTCCATAGTCTTTTTTTTTTCAGTGATTTGTTTGATCACATACTACATATATTACCTTCAAGTCTGTGCAGCCTTTGTCTTTCATCCTGTTGAGCAGCTTTTCCCTCAACCTTCTTGTGAGCTTCTGTGTAAATCACTATCATTCTCTTTCCAAACACTGCATTTGAACTTAGTGAAGTGTAGCTGTTTCTTCTTTTCCTTCCTTTTTTTTTTTTTTTTTTGAAGGGGTGCATATTCTGAAGAAAAGTCTACAAATCATTCCTCTATCTAATTCAAAACCCAACGTGTCACTTTACAGTTGGGTTTCCTCAAGAGGCTCTGCCGTGGACCCATGGAGGATGGGATGTGCAGGTCCTGAGGTCACTCTGCGATGTGTCAGAGGAGAAGAGTAAGGGTATCTGGGATCATGGGGCAGGATTAATGGAGTCCAAAGGAAAAAAATGGCAGGCAGAGAGGGAGAATTCTGTGATTGGATGTGTCAGAAGTGGGAGAAGTATGAACAAACTCTGGGAGTGACTAAGAGAGAATCTGACTTGACACAAGAAGGCATTTTTTAAAAACTGAACATTTTTAGAGAAGCTATAAATTCATAGGGGATTTTTTAATATGGCAAAGATGATTTAGCCAATGTCCATTCACCCAGGTCCTTGTCCTTCTGTGTCTCTTTTTGCACATCCATTCATAGCAAGGTCTCTGGTTTGTTTATTCTGTTCTTCCCATTTCAATGAGATGTTAAGTATGGGCAAGTCATTTCACCTCTGAGGGTTCCCATTTCCTCAGCTGAAAAATGAGGGAAATGGAGGATTGCTTGCTAAGATCCCTTCTAGTTTGTCAGTTAATTGATGTTATCATGACAGGCATCCCCTGTCAGATCCCCAGAGTGACAAAGTGGATTTCTCACCACTTATTCTCTGATGAGCCCAGGAACCAGTCCCCTCCATGTTGGGGGCAGCCCCTGTGTGCATGTGGAGTTGAGCTGCGTGGATTCCAGTGCAAGACTCCCAAGGCTGAGGGGAGGGAAGGTTGTGGAGGGGAGTGATTAGAACTGACCTGAGTCTGAGGACAGGCTCTGCCGCTGCCCAGATGTGTGAGCCCTCTCACCGAGCCTCCCTGCTCCATCATGTGAGGCTGGACCACGGCAAGCCACATGAAGCACTCAGTACAGTAACCAGCACATGGGGAGCAATGAATACCTGTCACCTGTTTCCATAGTCTTTGTAATGATCATCATCATCACCATCATCATGAAATTGTCACAGCTTAAATCCAGGAATACTAAGAAGGGCTCCTGTCTCCATTTTGTAGAAATGTCAGACTTTAATAAAAAGAAATCCAGGGGAGCGTAAATTAGTTCAACCATTGTGGAAGACAGTGTGGTGATTCCTCAAGGATCTAGAACTGGAAATACCATTTGACCCAGCAATCCCATTACTGGACATATGCCCAAAGGATTATAAATCATCCTACAATAAAGACAAATGGACACCTATGTTTATTGCAGCACTATTCACAATAACAAAGACTTGGAACCAACCCAAATGTCCATCAATGATAGACTGGATTAAGAAAATGTGGCACATATACACCATGGAATACTATGCAGCCATAAAAAAGGATGAGTTCATGTCCTTTGCAGGGACATGGATGAAGCTGGAAACCTTCATTCTCAGCAAACTATCACAAGGACAAAAAACCAAACACCACATATTCTCACTCATAAGTGGGAGTTGAACAATGAGGACACATGGACACAGGGAGGGGAACATCACACAGTGGGGCCTGTTGGGGAGTGGAGGGTTAGGGGAGGGATAACATTAGGAGAAATGCCTAATGTAAGTGACAGGTTGATGGGTGCAGCAAACCACAAGGACACATGTATACCTATGTAACAAAACTGCGGGTTCTGCACATGTAACCCAGAACTTAAAGTATAATAAAAACAATAATAATAATAATAATAAAATAAAAAGAAATCAAGTTGGCTACCTCTTTTGAGTCTGTATATTTGGAGAGCTAGGCATGATCAGAATCTATGTGTATGTAACTGTTGCTTATGAAAATTAATCCTCCCCACCTCCCTTCATCCTCCATCTCAGGTGACAGACAGGGAACTTCTTTAAATTCTTGTCATAAGAGCTAATGGTAATAACATACTTTCAGATTTTTAAAACTGAAGCATAGTTTGGGAAGTCAGTATCTTCAAATATAACAGAAGGGTAGACTATAACATAAAAACACTCTACTAAAATTAAATGTTTATCAAGGGGAACAAAGAATGGGGATATTCAGTGAGTTACTTAAAAATGGATGTTGTAGTTATTACCTGAGCATGAAAATACAGAAGGAAAACATTAAGACCATTTTAAAGGAGTTTGGAAATTTAGCATAACATAGGCAGGAAATAGGAATGAATCATCATCTTCTTTTGTGGTTGTTCATAAAACATCTTGCAACCTTTGCTGGATTTTTTTCATTCTCCTAGGTGGTGGGGTTGAAACAAAACAAACAATAGAAATGCAACTTTTTGTTCAACAGCAAAGTCGGAGAGCAAACTCTTTGTCAAGGCATTTATTTTAGTCGATTATTAATATGTCATCTGTGAAGTTATTCTCCTTGCTCTAGGCTCGATCTTGTACTAATCCCTCTTCCTAAGACTATGCTGTGGAGCCCTAAGGAGTTAAAAGAAAAAAAAAGTGGGCTTAGCTGGCAGAAACAAAAATAGGGGTAGAGAGGAGTGAAAGTTCTGATTAATTAGGTCACCGCAAATAGTTGCACTAGCACCTAAGCATCCTGTTACAGCACCTCGCTCACAGCCCACCTGCACCCAAGCATTCTGTCTGCAAGCATTCAGCTTAAGCAGCACAACCTTATAAGATTCCCCTCCAGCCTCTGCCTCTTGGTAGACAGCCTTCTTTCTGCTATCTTGCCCACTGCTCCCTTGCAATGTATCTCCCTCTTTTCTCTGAATAAATTTGCCTTTCTAAACTCATTACTGTCTTGATAAACCCCTTTACTGCCTGTGCATTGGCCTCAGACAGTCATTGACCATGTCAGCACCTGCAACATGGTACCTGGTTGTCTTTTGATCCAGGGCCAGCAGAGTTTTTCCACATCACTTAATAGTTGAATATTTACTATTTACCTTCCTGGAATAAATATATTTTCCAGAGGCAAAGTATTCCATAACAAAATGACTTACTAGAGTTGCCTCCTCATATTTATTCTGAGTCCTTAAAGAGTTACTAACATTATTGGTGGAAGAATTAGATCATTGGATTATGAAGAGAAAAAAGCCCACCTTTTTTCCTTTTTCTTAGTTTCTGCTCTTTTTTAAAATTTTTTGACTCTTTATGACTCCCAGCAAGATTTCATAATCTGTATTATAATTTCAGTGTGCCAAAAATAATTGCTACATTTTAAAAGTAGAATTGGCTTTTCAAGTCACTATTATTTTTAATGCTCCATCATATTTTTATAAAAGGACCTATTATTACTTAGTCTCGCCATATTTCTGAATTTTTGAAAACTGTTTTAAAGGTGAAAAGATTTTTCTTGTAATACTTAAAGCCATTCTTCCTATTTCTACTGAGAATGTGAAATATGTATTTATTATCTATTTAAAGGAACACACCCTTTTCTGTCCTAAGAAAATCATGGAAAGTAAAATTAAGGATAAAAGCAGCTAAAGCAAGTTCACCACACAGAAAGCCTATTGGAAAGGGCTTAATGGATTGGACACTGACGTGATTAATGGCCAGATCCTTACATTGTTTCTATTTAGCCTTAAATATGCTGCCTAAAGTGTCTATGAAGGAGAGGTAAAGATGACCGACCCAAGACCAGGCGCTGTGGCTCAGGCCTGTAATCCCAGCACTTTGGGAAGCCCAGGTGGGCACATCACTTGAGCCCAGTAGTTCGAGACCAGCCTGGGCAACATTATGGCAAAACCCCATCTCTACTAAAAACACAAAAATTAGCCAGGTGTGATGCTACAACCCTGTAGTCCCAGCTAAAAGGGAAGCTGAGGTGGGAGGATGGCTTGAGCCTGGGAGGCGGAGGTTGCAGTGAACCGAGATTGCACCACTGAACTCCAACCTGGGTGACAGGAGTGAAACCTTGTCTCTAAAAAAAAAAAAAAAAAAAAAAAACAGACATACCCAAATGCCTGGAGAAGAATACCCCACCAACAACAATTCCCAGACAACATTTGTTTTAAAAGTATCTGCCTAGCATAAAGGAAAGAAAGAAAATTTGGGTTGGTGCTTAACTCTGAATCTTTAGACAGATTATATAATTTCTGTATGTGTCTGTATGTGCTACTTTTTACACTTGGAAACCCTGATGATTCCAGGTCTCCTACCTTTTTTCCTGAAACGTTATAAGAAAAAATTAGAAGTAAATGTAAGAGACCTGAAGGTTTTCAGAAATAAAAGTGCTGGAAATGCATCTGTACTTGGATGTCAGATTCATCTCCAGCTTCACGGGGTCAAAACCGTGCTTCCAGTCCTTCCTCATGACCCTACACCCCCACCACAGGCTTCTTGGTTGATGGAAAAACTATACCACCAGTTGCTCAGGCCAAAATGTTTGACATCTTTCTCTCAATCCATCACTAAATAATTGTCTAGTCTGCCCATCAAAGTATATCCAGAATCTGTTCACTCCTCACTGCCACCCTGGTCCAAGTCTCTGTATTCTCTCCTGATTTATCTCCTTGCTTCTAACCTTTTGCTCTCTCTCCAGTCTATTCTTAGTACAGCAGCCAGAATAACACATCAAATTGTGTCACTTCTTTGCTTCACATCTTCCAGTGGCTTCCTATTTCTCTCAGAGTAAAAGCTTAACAACGGCAAACAAGAACATAAAATTGGCCCAATTGGCCCACAGAATTGATATTTTAGGTAGCCCTCCCAGTCTTAAAACTTGAGAAAGTTACTTTGTCTTATCTAAGTTCCTTTTGCCAAAAATCAACCATCTGGCTTCCCAGATAGTATCCAGTAACTGAAACTTACCAGATCACTGCATCTGGACAATGAGGAGCCAGACCCCTCACCCATCACAATTGTCTAACCAATCGCCTGCTTCCTGTTGATCAACTCCACTTCCTTATCCGTGCTTAATTCCTGTTTTCCTGCATGTAGTTACATTTCTTCCCTGCTATATAAACCCCTGATTTTAGTCGGCGAGATGGATTTAAGACTGATCTCCCGTTTTCTTGGCTGCAGCACCCAATTAAAGCCTTCTTCCCTGGCAATGCATATTATCTCAGCAATTGGCTTTCTGTGCAGCAAACCACAGGACCCAGACTGAACCTCTGGTGTTTCAGTAACAGATTTTGGTTCCCTGACCTGAAAGTCTTTCCTTGTGTCTCAGCTACTGTGGGCCAGAAGAGTTTCAGAAGCCCTCCTTAGCAGCTGTTCAACCCTTTTTTGGCCAGAGGGGAGTCTTGGTCTCTCTCTCTCTGCAACCCCACCACTGCTGGCCCCAACCTTGTTCCTAATTGCCTAGGAAGAACAGCCTTTGAAACTTGACATCTGCATCCAGATAGGTGAGTGTCCTTTGTGGGCCCTGATAACAAGATCTGCTCCTCTAAATTTGGAAAAATTTTAAAGGAATTTCTGTATGCAAATTGACAAGCCCAATTACTGAGAGAGAGAAGCACTCTGACTGTTTCCATTTGGACACTCATGGAGGTTTGTGTGTAAATGTTGTGTGTGTGTCCAGGCAAGTGAATGTCTTTCGTGGGTACCAGACAACAGGATTAGCTCCTCTCAACTTGGGAAATTTTTAAGGAATTTTTGTTTGTAAGTTGATCAAGTCCAACTGATGGAGAGAGGAAGCACCCTGACTGCTTCAGTTTGGGTACTCTTGGCGCTTGTCTTTTGCTAAGGCAGTGAGATTGTGTTTTGATAATTATTTGTTTGTGCATTTGTCAATATAGTCATGGGAAATTAGAATTCAATAAACTGATATTCTTTTGTAATACTGTTTGGTCCCAATATTCATTGGAATCTGGAGTTTGCTGTTGAATAGGAAAGTAGGATGGAGTTCCATGTATTCAAGCTTTTATGCTGCTGTTCTAAGCACAGTTAGGCCTGGTCAGTAGGTTCCAGGTGGTGTTTTTCTGTGATGCTGTTTGCCCCCAGTGTTCTTTGGAGTCTGGGGATGTTTGCCTTTCCAAATCACACTACCATGGAAATTGCTTTACCCAAAATTCTGGTTCGGATCCTTCATTGGACTCTATCAGGACAAAGTTTGGCCATGTGAACATGTTCATAGACCAGTGAGTTTGTTTTGCTGTCTCATGGCTAGAATTCTGAAGTAAAAGCTATTGGATCTTTGTTTGTATGTGTGTGTGTACGTGCATCTGGATGTTGTGTTGCTTTTATAGGATACCAATATGGCTTATAAATAAAAGAGTGCTCATAAATAAATAAGTCCAAGCAATTTTTAAGTTCACATGATTTAAGTAAATCTTTAATTTAAAAGCTGGCTTAAAAATTATTGGTAAAATAAAAAAATAGAAATGTCTTCAGAAGAAGGTCCAAATGATATGGACAGGACACAGGGAAATACTGGGTAGAAGAGGGTGGTTCCCCAGCAAAGACCCCACCCTCAAACCGAGAAACCTGTGGCCCTAAATAAGGACAGGCATTCCTGTTTTTGTGCCCAAAAGTTGCCTTCTTGCCCACCATGCCCCCCTATCCTGTACTCATATAATCCCCAGACCCTAGGCTCCAGCAGCAGGAGACAAGCAGACAAACAGAAGAGCAGAAGAGTGGCAGAGAAGGAGAGAAGGGAAGGAACATCAGGAGGAGTTCAGCTGGGGATGGTCAGAGAATCAGCACTGGATGGCCAAACTCCAGGGGAAGATCGTCTTCCCACTCCATTCCATTTCCAGTTCCCCATCCAACCTGCTGAAAGCCACACTCACCACCAATAAAACCCCCACATTCACCATCCTTCAAGTCTGTGTGTGACCTGATTCTTCCAGGACTCTGGACAAGAGCTTGGAATACAAAAAGCTGTCACACTGGCCCTCTGCCCTTGCAAAAAGGCAGAGGGTTCACTGAGCTGGTTAACACTTAAACTGTCCATGGATGGAAAGGCTAAAAGAGTGCATTGTAACACTCGCCCACTTGGGTTCTAGGGGTCACAGATTCCCACCACCGGGCACTGCAGTGGGGCTGGTGCTCAGCATCCCAGCCCCTGCCCTGTCCATCTGTGTGTTCCCCCTCCCATAAGTTGTTTGAGCGGTGGCATGACTAAATAGACAAGCCACACCCCTGTTGCACATCCTGCTGGGGGGGGGGTCAGGGAACTCTCCATTTCACAAGCATGTCATAGATGGTCTGTGTAAGTCATATGTAGTGTTTTTCCTGTTTCTCTGTGTGTCTGTCATCATACACATACAAAGAAATTAGAAAGTTGAAAATATTTAGATAGTAAAATTTTATTTAAAACCTGACAGAAAATTGGAAAAATTTGCCTAATTAGCATATCTCATAGTTAAAGCTCTTAGTCTTGATGAAGGTAAAATAAGAAATATTATAAAGAAACATATTGGTAATTTGGAAATTCTTTTTAATATAGTTAAGCATAAATCCATATTTAGCACAGAGTCAAATTTCACATGCATGTTTGCATTGCTATGTTTCACACTGTTTTTGCTGTTTTGCATAGATACTACTAGCACTAAAATACTTATCAGTCACATGCCTGAAGTAAATTTCTAAATTGCACAAAAGCTATAGTGGTGTTGGTGGACTTAAAGACCTTAATTTGTGTACCAGGAACAAAATATCTGTCATGTGTTTTTAGGCTCTGAATAACACTGCAGCCTCCAAGGTAAATCTAGTAGGATAAAAATTTGAGGTTGGTTTCCTATTTATTTGTTCTTTGCTCCTAATTTTCATTTATTTGCTGTTTGTTCTCCTTTGGATTTTACTTCTAATACATGTATAAGACCATTGTTTTCAAGTTTCTAATGGAAGGCTTTTATTTGGTTCTATGAACAGTGATTTTGTTTCCTATGCATTTTGAACAATTCATCATTTGTTCATTTTATCTAAAATTCCTAAGCTACCTTTGTCAAGCCTCCCAAAATTGGTAGAGCACACCAACTATTTAACATTTGATGGGGTTTGCTCATCTCTGACAACCTATAGAGCTAGGAGAGCTTTAAGGTTCCAGGCAATAAATAAATTTTTAAATGCTTATTTTTATAGGTTCTGAACAGAAATAGCACATTATTTTGTTATTTGAAAAAGTAAGTGAGGGGCAAGGCATGGTGGCTCATGCCTGTAATCCCAGGACTTTGGCAGGCTGAGGCAGGCGTATCACTTGAGGTCAGGAGTTCAAGACCAGCCTGACCAATATGGTGAAATCCTGTCTCTACTAAAAATACAAAAAAAAAAAAATAGCCAGGTGTGGTGGTGCACACCTGTAATCCCAGCTACTCAGGAGGCTGAGGCAGGAGAATCACTGAAACCCAGGAGGCAGAGGCTTCAGTGAGCCAAGATGGTGCCATTGCACTCCAGCCTGGGTGACAGAGTAAGACTCCTTCTCAAAAAAAATAAAAAAAGAAAAAAAAGAAAACAAAAAGTAGGTGAGAATAAAAATGTTTAAATGGTGTCTGTTTCCAAGGTAATTCAATTCAATCAATAATTTCAGCTGGTTTCAGATCTTTTCCTTTGGGTAATGAGGAAAATCTATGACTCAGGTACAAAGTTTTAATGTTCAGGAAGGATTAGCCTTGTCCTTAAAGAAATTATACTGACTTGGATTTCTCTCAAGCTCCTTTACTTGTAATTTACCATTATCAAAATTAAGTGACATTCACTTAGATTAAATAGCAATAAAAATATGAGACTTTTCAGTGATTTTTGATCCCAAGCCTTTTATCACTATTGGGCCTTCATGTGTGTACTTGAAAACAAAATATAAACATGTTCCACTGGCTAGAAGATTCTAATGGTAAAAGTTACCTAAACAGTTGTCAGTACTGTATCTAGAAACCAATCTCAAAAATGTGTGATGATGCTCTTTTTAAAAATAGCTGAAAAGAAATTGTGTGTTTCTTCTCATTTTGTCTTTGTTTTGTTTTCAAAACTGATATTTGCATTTACCATTTTTTTAATAATGGAGAGAAAAGTTCATTGTTTACTTTGATGAGTTTGACATAGGACCTATCACTTTATGTTTTTGGTCACAGTTCTGTCACTAGCAATGAAACACATGCAATGAATAATTTAACTAATACAGTGTTTGAAAGTGCTGCAGCCAGTGACTACTTGACACCAAATCAGTGTTTTAATTTGTGACATGTTAGAGAAAATACTAGCAAGTTCTGCAATATAAGTGTCCTATGAACTAATCCTTGTGCTGTTAAGTTACTGGGCTTTGACTCCTGGGTCTGGAAACGGCACTGACTCTTGCTAAATATTGAACATTGACACAAGTCAAAAGCTCATCTTTAGACCCTGGAAAAGGTGACAATCAAAATGAACTGTTTTCATGAGACACAGGGCCAGAAATTAAAACTGTTCAGTCTCTCTAGGCCCAGGGACTATTACAGAATAGGTGAACACATGAGTTTGTCAGGGCTGATTTTGAGGAATAAGATTAATTCAGAGTTTTTCTGTAAAGTTAACATTAATATCAAAAGTACACAGATGCAAGGCCAGCATCTGGGCCCCCTGTGTCAGAGTAACAGGGTTTTCTTGGAACATCAATCTACTCTTTAATAGAAAATTGTAAGTGTTATAAAAGGTTTATGGAAATCCTACTTTATGGTCAAACTGATGCAAATTAGATAGATTTGCTTATAAAGTTTCATTAAAATGAACTTTAACATTGGTAGTATGCCATATAAGGGTAAAATTTGATTTTCTCTTTGAACGAAATCTTTGTGTAACATAAATGAGATAATAAAAGATTTTTGTTTACCTTGAGTAAACTGCAGGGGAAAAAAGAAGGGAGGAGAGCCAGCTTTGGTTGGCTTCATGCTGTATTTAGGTCTTACTGTTTGGAAAACTGAGTCTCCTCTCTATTAAAGAGTAAACACTTTTGTTTTATCATCTTGGCTAAATGAATATTTTATGACCTATGATTCTATTTTGTGATAGCAAGTGCATTAAACCTTTGATATTTCACAAACTTTCCAAAAGCAAAATTTCAAGTTCCAAATTCACTTTTTTTAAGCTCAAACTAACTTTGTTAGGGATATTAGTTCCCCTGAAGCCCAAGAGAGACATATTTGGTTTGTTTGTTACCATTATACATGAAGCATTGTCAAATATGAGGTAATATTTAACTTTCTTTGGGTTACGTGGATTTTATGATATTCTGGAAACTCTGACATGTCTTTATATATATAGTAATTATTATGATTATTATGGTAAACTGTTGTATGCCACAGAAATAACTAAATTTCCCTGGCAACTTTGTCTGTAACTATGAATGTCCTAAGACTTTTGTCATCTATGGTTGTCATTTAGTGTTGATTCCTCTCAAAAAGTGACTTATAATCAGCTACACTCCAAGACTTGCCTCTTGGAGGAGCTCATGAAAAGGACTCTTGAATGCAGTTTTCTGATAACTTTGGAGATTGTGCCATAAGATTAGAGAGAAAACTTTCAGGACTCTAATTAAAAAGCTGATGTGTTCATAAAGATTGCTAATCCAATATGAAGCAGAGGAGGAGTTGGTTGCATGGACTAAACTAATGGAAGGCTGAAACAATTTTTAAAAAATGACTTTTTTGTTTGAAATATTGCTGATTCTTTTTGTTTTGTTTTTTAGAGTCTGAAGAATTTTTTTCTTTCAAGCTATTTATAGCCTTTAACAATTGAGTATACTCTTTGTAAACAGAATTTAAGGCATATTTCTCTCTTTCTCTGCCTTATTTCTCCAGAATTCATAAACTATTTGTGAATATTATTAATTCACGGTAATGTGTTTGTTTGCATATATTTAATAATAACCTGTTTTCTTTTATAATGGGACACAGCTGAAGGAACTGGTTATTCTTCCAGGGCTTTGACTGAAATGGCCTTCTGAGAGGTTCCTACAAAGCCAGGCCTGTATAGACAATGATTCTTGCTGCACTTTGTGTGGATAATCAGGCCAAATATATGGGACTGAAGCTTATTTTGTAAGTAGTTTGGTCCTGCTATGATTTTCCCTTGGTGGAATTGGGGGACTGAGAGAGAAAGACTATTTCAGAAGAAAACTATAGTATTACATTAACCTTTGACTCCTTACCCATGGTATGGAGCTGCCCACAACGTCCCTTCTCAGCATGAAGCATCCCAAAAGATCGACAGAAAGATTCCCCATGATTGAGAGACTGATAAATAGAAAGGGTAGGGGGACTGAAACTGGTCTACTTGTCCCATAGAACTAATGTTTACTGTTTCTTTTGAATAAAGACAGAGATTGAACTTCCCAGTCTTAAAACTTGAGAAAGTTGCATTTGTCTTAGATCTGAGTTTCTTCCATAGGAAACCAACCATCAGGTCTCCCAGATAGTATCAAGGAACTGAAACATTTGCCATATCACTGCATCTGGACAATGAGATGCCAGACCACTCACCTGTCATGATTGCTTAACTGACCGCCTGCTTCCTGTTGATCGACTTCTCTTTCTTACCCCTCCCTAATTCTTGTTTTCCTGCAAGCAGTTACATTTCTCCCCTGCTATATAAACTCCAAATTTTATTCAGTCATGGAGATGAATTTGAGACTGATCTCCCATCTGCTCAGCTGAAGCACCCAATTAAATCCTTCTTCCCTGGCAATATGTGTTGTCTCAGTGATTGGCTTTCAATGCTTCAAGCAGCAGGACCTAGACTGAACCCTGACATTTCAGTAACAATCAGATGTGGTCTGAGCTCAACTCCCTCCCTACCATCTCCCCTGTCCCATCACTTGTTAACCTCACCTCGTGCCCACTGGGCACCAGCCACACTGGCCTCCTGGCTGCCCCTGAACACAGCAAGCACAGCACACCCAGGGGCTTTGCCTAGTCCCTCCACCTGGAATACTCTTCCCTTGAAGAGTTCCTCCTTCAAGTCTTTGCTGAATTATTTCCTTCCCAGGAGGCCCTTCTTGAGCCCCTCTGTAAAACTGCAACGAATCCCTACTTATGTTCCAGATACTCCTTTTCATGTTCTGCCTTTTTTTCTCCTGCACCGTTTATCACATTTTTAACATATTACATAATTGAAGTATTTGTTTGTCATGTCTCTTTTTTTTTTTTGAAACAGAGTCTTGCTCTGTTGCCCACGCTGGAGTGCCGTGGCACAATCTCAGCTCACTGCAACATCTGCCTCCCGGGTTCAAGCAATTCTCCTGCCTCAGCCTCCTGAGTAGCTAGGATTACAGGCGTGTGCCACTACACCAGGCTAATTTTTGTATTTTAAGTAGAGTCAGGGTTTCACCATGTTGGCCAGGCTGATCTCAAACTCCTGACCTCATGATCCACCCACCTCAGCCTCTCAAAGTGCTAGAATTACAGGTGTGAGCCACCAAGCCCGGCCTGTCAAGTCTCTTAAAAAACCTCACTCCCCACCTCAGTTAACATGTTCTCCATGGAGGTAGGGATTTGTTTTTTCTCTGTTTGGCTCATTGATGTCCCAGAGATCCTAGAATAACATTTTGCACAGTAATACTTTGCACCCACTTGGCACTGCATATGAGTTTGTGGGATGAAGGAAGATCAGTGGCCCTGTATTACTAAGAGAGCCATTGCCAATGACAGTGAAGAGAACTTTTAAGAGGAGTTACACATGATAATTAAGGGGATTCTGTTTCAATTGCAATACTTAATATAGTCTTACTCAGATTATAATTTTGTTTGTGTCTACATCAATTTTGAAGTCTCTGAGAGTCAAAGTAATGTAGTCTTTAGCTTTTTGCCCCAAATCCCTTTACTCTTTTCATATAGTAGTCACTTGCTGAATGCTTATTGAAATGAAAGAAAACATGGCAGGGTGCGGTGGCTCATGCCTGTAATCCCAACACTTTGGAAGTCAGAGGTGGGTGGATCACCTGAGGGCAGGAGTTTGAGACCAGACTTGCCAACATGGTGAAACCCTGTCTCTACTAAAAATACAAAAATCAGCCGGGCGTGGTGGTGTGCACCCGTAGTGCCAGCTACTTGAGAGGCTGAGGCAGGAGAATCGCTTGAACCAGGGAGGCAGAGGTTCCAGTGAGCTGAGATCACACCACTGCACTCCAGCCTGGATGACAGAGTGAGACGCTGTCAAAAAAAAAAGAAAAAGAAAGAAAGGAAACAAAATGACAAAATGTATGGAAAGGAATAAAACAAAATTGAGCAGATTTACCCTGTCTTGGATTATACACATATACACATATATATTTATCTTTTAAATTTAATTAAAATGATACTGAAATATTACCCAGGTATATTTACACAGATTAATTATACTGGATTGGTAGAAATAAAAAAGAAATACTAAAAAGATGAGAGAGGGAGGAACACCCTAAGTACTGTAGGTAGATTTCTGGTTATTGCCTTCAATGACGATAGTCCAGGAGAGAGCAGAAGATGAAAGGGGTGGATTTGTCCTTCTCAGGCAATCTCAGTTCCCATGAGCCTTCAGGGTGTGAGCATCTTGCTGTGGTGAATGGGATTCTAGTGTTTACAGATAAGCCTTCTTCATACAACATGGCCTCTATACAATTAGTGCTCAATTGTTGAAACAGCTATTTGTCCCGCTTACGAGGAATGATTTCTCTGGGTTTGGCTTCTTGAGATATAGGTATGTCAGTTTCCAACATGGAGCCAGTCTAAAAGGACTTTCAAGAGTACTTTTGACTGGGTGTGATGTTTGCTTTATTTACTGACTTTGAACCTAACCCCTATGTGTCTCCACAGTAGCCCCTCAGCACCACAGTATTCCAAGTGGAGTCACAAAGGTGATTACTCTTTGCTGGAGATTAAAGACTAACTGCTGCTGCTGCAGAGCAAGTAGCTGGACATTGCAATAACGTTTTCTAAATAAATAATGATGTCTCATGATGACAATGGTGACCCAGTGCTCTCATCTCTGCAAGAATGGAAGTGTAAGAAGTGGGTTTATAATATTGCAAAAATGACATATTTCAGATATAGGAAACAGTTGCCAGATTCTGAGATGGTTTCTTTTTTTTATTTTATTTTATTATTATTATACTTTAAGTTTTAGGGTACATGTGCACAATGTGCAGGTTTGTTACATATGTATACATGTGCCATGCTGGTGTGCTGCACCCATTAACTCGTCATTTAGCATTAGGTATATCTCCTAATGCTATCCCTCCCCCCTCCCCCCACCCCACAACAGGCCCCGGAGTGTGATGTTCCCCTTCCTGTGTCCATGTGTTCTCATTGTTCAGTTCCCACCTATGAGTGAGAACATGCAGTGTTTGGTTTTTTGTCCTTGCAATAGTTTGCTGAGAAAGATGATTTCCAGTTTCATCCATGGCCCTGCAAAGGACATGAACTCATCCTTTTTTTATGGCTGCATTGTATTCCATGATGTATATGTGCCACATTTTCTTAACCCAGTCTATCATTGTTGGACATTTGGGTTGGTTCCAAGTCTTTGCTATTGTGAATAGTGCCACAATAAACATAAGTGTGCATGTGTCTTTATAGCAGCATGATTTATAGTCCTTTGGGTATATACCCAGTAATGGGATGGCTGGGTCAAATGGTATTTCTAGTTCTAGATCCCTGAGGAATCACCACACTGACTTCCACAATGGTTGAACTAGTTTACAGTCCCACCAACAGTGTAAAAGTGTTCCTATTTCTCCACATCCTCTCCAGCACCTATTGTTTCCTGACTTTTTAATGATCGCCATTCTAACTGGTGTGAGATGGTATCTCATTGTGGTTTTGATTTGCGTTTCTCTCACGGCCAGTGATGATGAGCATTTTTTCATGTGTTTTTTGTCTGCATAAATGTCTTCTTTTGAGAAGTGTCTGTTCATATCCTTCACCCACTTTTTGATGGGGTTGTTTGTTTTTTTCTGGTAAATTTGTTTGAGTTCATTGTAGATTCTGGATATTAGCCCTTTGTCAGATGAGTAGATTGCAGAAATGTTCTCCCATTCTGTAGGTTGCCTGTTCACTCTGATGGTCGTTTCTTTTGCTGTGCAGAAGCTCTTTAGTTGAATTAGATCCCATTTGTCAATTTTGGCTTTTGTTGCCATTGCTTTTGGTGTTTTAGACATGAAGTCCTTGCCCATGCCTATCTCCTGAATGGTATTGCCTAGGTTTTCTTCTAGGGTTTTAATGGTTTTAGGTCTAACATTTAAGTCTTTAATCCATCTTGAATTAATTTTTGTATAAGGTGTAAGGAAGGGATCCAGTTTCAGCTTTCTACATATGGCTAGCCAGTTTTCCCAGCACCATTTATTAAATAGGGAATCCTTTCCCCATTGCTTGTTTTTGTCAGGTTTGTCAAAGATCAGATAGTTGTAGATATGAGGCATTATTTCTGAGGGCTCTGCTCTGTTCCATTGGTCTATATCTCTGTTTTGGTACTAGTACCATGCTGTTTTGGTTACTGTAGCCTTGTAGTATAGTTCGAAGTCAGATAGTGTGATGCCTCCAGCTTTGTTCTTTTGGCTTAGGATTGACTTGGCAATGCAGGCTCTTTTTTGGTTCCATATGAACTTTAAAGTAGTTTTTTCCAATTCTGTGAAGAAAGTCATTGGTAGCTTGATGGGAATGGCATTGAATCTATAAATTACCTTGGGCAGTATGGCCATTTTCACAATATTGATTCTTCCAACCCATGAGCATGGAATGTTCTTCCATTTGTTTGTATCCTCTTTTATTTCATTGAGCAGTAGTTTATAGTTCTCCTTGAAGAGGTCCTTCACATCCCTTGTAAGTTGGATTCCTAGGTATTTTATTCTCTTTGAAGCAATTGTGAATGGGAGTTCACTCATGATTCGGCTCTCTGTTTGTCTGTTATTGGTGTATAAGAATGCTTTTGATTTTTGTACATTGATTTTGTATCCTGAGACTTTGCTGAAGTTGCTTATCAGCTTAAGGAGATTTTGGGCTGAGACAATGGGGTTTTCTAGATATACAATCATGTTATCTGCAAACAGGGACAATTTGACTTCCTCTTTTCCTAATTGAATACCCTTTATTTCCTTCTCCTGACTGATTGCCCTGGCCAGAACTTCCAACACTATGTTGAATAGGAGTGGTGAGAGAGGGCATCCCCGTCTTGTGCCAGTTTTCAAAGGGAATGCTTCCACTTTTTGCCCATTCAATATGATATTGGCTGTGGGTTTGTCATAGATAGCTCTTATTATTTTGAGATACGTCCCATCAATACCTAATTTATTGAGAGTTTTTAGCATGAAGTGTTGTTGAATTTTGTCAACGGCCTTTTCTGTATCTATTGAGATAATCATGTGGTTTTTGTCTTTGGTTCTGTTTACATGATGGATTACATTTATTGATTTGCATATGTTGACCCAGCCTTGCATCCCAGGGATGAAGCCCACTTGATCATGGTGGATAAGCTTCTTGATGTGCTGCTGGATTCGGTTTGCCAGTATTTCATTGAGGATTTTTGCATCAATGTTCATCAGGGATATTGGTCTAAAATTCTCTTTTTTGGTTGTTTCTCTGCCAGGCTTTGGTATCAGGATGATGCTGGCCTCATAAAATGAGTTAGGGAGGATTCCCTCTTTTTCTATTGATTGGAATAGTTTCAGAAGGAATGGTACCAGCTCCTCCTTGTACCTCTGGTAGAATTTGGCTCTGAATCCATCTGGTCCTGGACTTTTTTTGGTTGGTAAGCTATTGATTATTGCCACAATTTAAGAGCCTGTTATTGGTCTATTCGGAGATTCAACTTCTTCCTGGTTTAGTCTTGGGAGGGTGTATGTGTTGAGGAATTTATCCATTTCTTCTAGATTTTCTAGTTTATTTGCATAGAGGTGTTTATAGTATTCTCTGATGGTAGTTTGTATTTCTGTGGGATTGGTGGTGATATCCCCTTTATCATTTTTTTTGCATCTATTTGATTCTTCTTTTTTTTCTTCTTTATTATTCTTGCTAGCGGTCTATCAATTTTGTTGATCTTTTCAAAAAACCAGCTCCTGGATTCATTAATTTTTTGAAGGATTTTTTTGTATCTCTATTTCCTTCAGTTCTGCTCTGATTTTAGTTCTTTCTTGCCTTCTGCTAGCTTTTGAATGTGTTTGCTCTTGCTTTTCTAGTTCTTTTAATTGTGATGTTAGAGTGTCAATTTTGGATCTTTCCTGCTTTCTCTTGTGGGCATTTAGTGCTATAAATTTCCCTCTACACACCGCTTTGAATGTGTCCCAGAGATAATGGTATGTTGTGTCTTTGTTCTCGTTGGTTTCAAAGAACATTATTTCTGCCTTCATTTCGTTATGTACCCAGTAGTCATTCAGGAGCAGGTTGTTCAGTTTCCATGTAGTTGAGCGGTTTTGAGTGAGTTTCTTAATCCTGAGTTCTAGTTTGATTGCACTGTGGTCTGAGGGACAGTTTGTTATAATTTCTGTTCTTTTACATTTGCTGAGGAGTGCTTTACTTCCAACTATGTGGTCAATTTTGGAATAGGCGTGGTGTGGTGCTGAAAAAAATGTATATTCTGTTGATTTGGGGTGGAGAGTTCTTTAGATGTCTATTAGGTCCACTTGGTGCAGAGCTGAGTTCAATTCCTGGATATCCTTGTTAACTTTCTGTCTTGTTGATCTGTCTAATGTTGACAGTGGGGTGTTAAAGTCTCCCATTATTATTGTGTGGGAGTCTAAGTCTCTTTGTAGGTCACTCAGGACTTGCTTTATGAATCTGGGTGCTCCTGTATTGGGTGCATATATATTTAGGATAGTTAGCTCTTCTTGTTGAATTGATCCCTTTACCATTATGTAATGGCCTTCTTTGTCTCTTTTGATCTTTGTTGGTTTAAAGTCTGTTTTATCAGAGACTAGGATTGCAACCCCTGCCTTTTTTTGTTTTCCATTTGCTTGGTAGATCTTCCTCCATCCCTTTATTTTGAGCCTATGTGTGGTTTCTTAAGAGAGGTTTTAGAATCTTCTTATGTGGGAACTTTTCCTTTTAATCTCATTCTGCCTAGAGTGGTTTATTACAAGCATTTTTCAAAGTGCATTCTAGCATTATACAACATACTAAGAGTGTTTACTCAAAATAAGGACTCTGTCATCAAATACATCTCAGAATCATTTGAGAGGTATTAACTCAGATATATGAGAGTGGGTGGGTAAATTTTACATACTTGTAATGGCTCTTTCGGTGCACTACTTAAAATTTGTTTCAGTTGCCTTATTTCTACCTTCAGGAATAACAACAGCCAAACAAATCTTCACAGAGCTATTCCTTTAACAACATCACCTTAATAGGGTTTCCTTTTGAACCTTTTATTTTAAAGTTACGGAGAATTTCTCACCAGTCAACAGCAAGTGTAAGATAATAACCAGAAAGGGATTCATAGGCATTTCATGTGTATTCTGGTTTCTAAGTGGTAGAAACATTACTTGTTAGTACCAGTGACAGAGGCTGTAATTAGAATTGTGCATGTTGGTTTTTGCCTCAGCAGTAACTATGTCTGTGAAGACTTGTGATGGAATAAGGTACACTGCAAGCCACTCATAAAGGATAAGCATGTAGAGAGGACATTTCATCTACAAGAGCTTATTCATCATATATTAAGTGACAGTTTCCCCCATGTAAAATAAAAATGACATCTTATTAACTCTCCACAAATTCATCATTTTGTCTCCCTCGGAAGTTTTCAAGTTCTCCAGTGAATCATTTAGGAGCAGAAGCAGCGTAATTCAACAGATGCCTTGGGAGGAAAATATGAGGCACAAAAGTAAACAGGAAAGAACAAAACCACCGAATGAGGCATTATGTTGTCTGTGTGACAATTTAAGATTTATCAGTGTCAACTTTGTGTTGCATGCACGTGAGGTTAACTTTACCCTACTTCTAGGAGTGGTTAGTTAGCAGTTAAAAGTACCCGGCTCAGGAGGCCATGCTTTTGAGGGCCTACACAGACACTTCCAATTTTGCTGTCAAAATCCATACCAGAAGTTTGTCCTTCAGTATGAGGGTTGTTAGAAAATAATGATACTCTGCTGAAATAAGCTGTGGCCAAAATAAATGGTTGGCTAGAAAGACTGTACAAGCACCATCATCCTTGAATGACAAGGGTCTAGGATCCCAGCAAGCCCAGCAGCCTTACAGAGCTAGAACTCAGCCCTATTTGGTCCCCACACTTCACAAAGGCTCTGAGCTCAACATAACTTGAAGATAGGCTGTTCTGCCTTGGGGTAGTACCCTGTCCTCAGAGAAAGCCTGCCATGCAAAGTTGTGTGGGAGAGCCATAAGCCTGAGGAAGGACTTCTCTGAGCTCATAAGAGCAGATGGTGTAAAACTAGCTTTGTACTTGCTTGCTGATAAACATTTGCACTTCCAGCTGCATTTTATCCATGGCTTACTTTCAATGTTACATCCCATCTGGCTGTAAACACAAGGGACCCAGTGTTTACAAAGGATGTGGCAATCTTTAAGCAGCCACATTGGCTTAGGTTAATTTGCAACATCAGGAATCTGGTATTTGGTATTAAAGTGTGACCCAGTAAGAGGAATATTTTTATCAGTCTTCCTGGAATCACTGAAAATTTCTAGTCATTCAAATCTATCATAATTCATTCTGACAGTAACTTTGTAATTTAGTAACTTCGGCCAGTAGACTCTAATCATCTCTATGTAGATGCCACATTTTTTTAATAGATAGGAGCCATATTTGACAAGGTCTTTCTTTGGTAATAATTTAACAAGTGTTGCTGGAAAACCAGTTTTACTCTGCTTTTCAGCTAAACCCATTTGTTTCTACCATCCTGAAGAAATACTCTAGGAAAAAATAACTCCCAATTAGTGATCACTGTGTTGAGTTCTCACTGCATCTTTTCCATATTTTCAAGCCTCATGTGGACCATAGAAAGTTTTCTCTCTTGAATACATTTTAAAATTTAAGTTGATACCATTTCATGGAAAGCAGTCCCTTTACGAAGCTACAAAGCATCTTTCATGTCTTGATGCACGCGTATGTGAACGTCTGCTGCCTTCATAGAAACACAGGTGTTCACACCATTTTTAAACACAGGGCTTCTTTTTCTATCCATTGCTACATTGTACTAATCATTTACAGTTGCCCTTTTAAGTAATAGAGGTAGGCTGTTTACTGTATATTTAATTATGGAAAAAGTGAACTATTCTTTCAAGTGAGTTATCTGTGAAAGTAGCTTTTTAAACACCTCTTAGGAAGCAAAATAATCCACCATGCTTTTATAACCATATGTTTCACAGTAAGAAGTTGGATCTTGTCCAAAGAGATGTGATATATTCTGATTATAGAAGATTTTGCTTTGCATGAATACAGGACAGACAGCAGGAATCAAATCTACTATTAATAGTAGCTCGTCCAGAAGCTATTATGCTAGTAAATCTTTCTCTTCCTTTTAGCTGCTAAAATAAAAGCTTCCTGGTTTTATTGTTACTCTTACATGTCATGAAGTAAGCCAGAAACCTCTCACCATATTTGTTTGATAAAGTATGATGAACATTTGGCTACCTTCAGGAAATGCAGCTCTAAAATATTTGGATCTTCACCAAGGAAAACTCTAGATTACTTTTAGTTCCTTTTCCTTATTGATTTCAGATTACAAAGCAAAGGCACCATCTTCTATGCGACAATCAACAATAAGTGGTAGAAAAATTGTGCATCCTGTCGTATAATTTTATAAATATTTTAATTTTAATCTGCCTTCACCTGTCATTGGTGCCTCCTGGGGGGAGAAAGTGTGTGTGGTTTTTTTTTTTGCTTTTTCTTTTAAAAGCAAGATTTGAATTGTCTAAGAGACTAATGGAGTATACAATTCCATTTTAGTCTCCCAGTTGTTTCATTTCTTCATTTAAATTTTATCAGTGAATTTTAGAGCTTATGAAAATCACAAAATGAATTACCAGCTTGAGCCAAGTAAAGTGTAGGCTGGCAGCCATGCTGTTGAGATCTGTCCCAGTTCAGTTTTGTCCTGTTGCCGCAGAGAGAGAAAATGTTAAAGCGTCTTTTATTCAGGTCTGCGTTTGAGATACAGATATGACCTGTGCTCGTGTCATGGGAGGGCTGCCCTTAAGCCCCTCTGCAGCATGGTGTTGTGGCAGTTCAGGTCTTAATCAGGGATGTAGCCAAAAACAGAATTATTAAGCTGTGGCAGAAGTGACTCGGTTTCTTAGCAAATAACCATTAAATTTTTTTATTTCTAACCCTGACCCAAGATTCTCTCACCTCAGTATTGGAGTCTGGGTCTTTGTGTGTATGTGTCTGCATCTGCCTATACCTGTGTGTGCTATCTTTGTGCTTTCTCAGCTGTGCCCCATGCTCTGGAAGCTGAGCTAGGAGGAAGAAGAGAAAGCGACAGCAAGGAGCTTCCAGGTTATACTTTGCCTGGAGCTGGAATTCAACTGCAGTAGTCTATGGAATTGAGAAAGGCTGCTGTCAGCTGATTAGCCAGATATGCAGCTGTGCTGATGGCGGCCAGGCTTATACTTGGTCACCTTGGAGACCCTAACAGGGGTGTCGAGAGAAGAGATTTACCTCTTTGCAGCTCAGGAGAATGTTCTTCTGTATCCTCACAAGCCAGAAAAGGAAAATCAAGCCCAGTAATATCTGCCACACGGAATATATTATTATCTCACCTCTTGTTTACACAAGTTTGCTATCAGACAGGATAAGTCAGGTTATCAACACCTTTATTTTTAACTAATCATCCAATTAAAGCATACAAAAGTAATTTTCCTGAAGTCACATAGTTGATCATAGGTATATTAATATAAACTGTTACTAGGTATATTATTAGATGTTTTATTTATAATTTCTTTTCCTTTTCCCTGTGTAATTAGGAATAAGTTTTCACTGGGCTTTTTTTCTAAAAATTAAATTAGTTTCTCTGAAAGCTAAACCACTTTCCATGGAAAAGGCCCCCAAACCCCCCTGTCTAGTTCCTTATTGTTTCTGAGTTTCATCTAAAACCGTTAGGCTGAAATAGACTATACATTGTTTAGCAAATTTTGTCATTATCTGTGATCTCCAAGATCCACGATTGGGCTGTCCCCCCAGTTTTCTTGTCCTAGGAAATCTAGACATGTCCTAAGGGAAACATTTTTTCCTAACTTCCCAATTTTCTGCTTGGCAAATTCACTTGTTATTTTAGAGAAATATTCTCTTAAATATTTTAAGTCTATTTGATCTGACTAGAGAGGAGGGAGGAAAATTAGCAGTATGGACAATCAAAGTTTGGGTTAAAGGTTCGTGGAATTTAGATAGTTTGCCATGATCTTAAGTGGATATTTCTTTTTTTTTTTTTTGTATTTTTTAAAAAGACATTTATTGATTCGGAATATATATAAATTGTTAAGATACCTTTCTTTTCCCATATTGGTAGCAACTATCAGGTTGCACATATATATTCTAAAATAAAGAGAAACACTGGCCTGCTTCCAGCCTTTTCAGATCTGCATTCCCCACTAAAGTGGAGAGTAGTAGCTTCTCCATACCAAAGCTTATACCACAGAATCCCCACTTTCTCCTCACAGGCTCCCCTAGTGGCCTTGTACTACAGGGTGTCATAACTCACATAACATCAGCTTTCAGACCTGGAGGAATCTTTGCAACCCAGCCCCACGGCTGAGCTCAGAGCCCTGAGCAATACTTATTTGTCTTATCTTATAGTTGGAGCTCTTTAAGGATGGAAGCGCTTCCGCGTCTGCCCAAGGTGACATATATAACCAAGCATCCCAGCCTCAAAATGCATTTTAAAACTTTTATTTTTTCTTTCTTGCTTTCATCTTTGAAACTCTGTGTTTCACTCTTTCCCACCAGAAAGCCATCTCTAGTTTCTCCCACTCTCCTACCCAGCTTTCTCTCAGGCCCAGGACCTTCATTCACTTAATTGATTTATTCAGCAAACATTTGCACCAGGCACTGGGCCTAAGCGCAAGTCTTGCACCAGTGAACACGAGTGACAAGCTCCCTGCATTCATGGAGCTCACAGTCTAGTGAGACAAAGACAATAAAGGCAGTAAACACACAGATGCATATGTCATTACAACTGGGGTGATTTTCATGAAATAAAGACTGCGCTGGTGCCTGAAGAACCTGGTAGAGGATGAACACACAGCCCTGTGATTTTTCAATCTGCACATCAGTCTTCTTGGGGAGGCTGATTGCTCTATGACTCTCTTCCCATCTCCATGGTCCAAGCAGCAGTCAGTGCCATGGGCATCCTGTCCACTGCAGGGCGCGGTGAGTAAGGAGAAAACAGGGAGGTTGGCTGTGCTCTCACCTGTCACCCACCTCAAGGATGAAAGTGCCTCCCAACCTGGTGGCTGCCCAGCACTCAGCGCTCAGTTGAGTCAAGGACGTGAACACCCACCATAGTGAGGAAAATACTTTAGTCAGGCAAGAAGGTGTGATGCTGAGGATGTGAAGAGAAGCCTCTTTCGGATCCCCGGTGAGGGCTGTTCTCTAATAACCTTCATGAGGGGCAGTTGTGTAAAATGTGGCTCATTGTGTAAAATGCTATCCAGGAACATGGATAATGACCTGACCAGAGTCATGTTTATAGTTGCACTCTTAATTCTTAGGATGAATTATTAATAGTAGGGTATATTACATTCGCTTTAGAAATCTCTTTGGGAAGACACATGAATGCTTTTGTAAAAACATATCAGCTTTTGAAGAATCGAAAGAAGTAATTAGTCTCAAAAAATTAAAGTGCACCTATAAAAAGGGAACATCAATGTACTATTCTATAATAGGCTCAGAGTTAATGCGGAACATTCCACAAAACACTCGTTCTTGGGGATTTATTTTCAACATTAGAAAGAAATACTCACTCTTGACATGACAGGATTCTTGTGAAGAGGTGTACTCTTTTTTAAAAATATGTACTTGACGTTCTTGTACCAATATGTACTTTGTAAACTCAGAGTATAATCTAAATTACAAAGATAGCTTGCAGCTTTTAAATAAAATAAATTTGCTCCGTTTTTCACCTTGCTTTTCAATGTTAATGAGTCATAGAAATACAATGTCCTATTGCATCCATTTGAGTTGAAGTCTTGTAATACAAGCTATAACTTTTTCTTCCTTCTAATTCTAAAGGGTTTGGTTTTTTAGGTTTAAAAATGAGTTTATTACTTACAGAACCATAAATTACTTAAGGGAAAGCATCCAAATCATATGGAATCACTCTCAGAAATTTTATTACTCCATATGTTGTAGTCAGTAGAACAAAGTTCTTAAATAAAATCCAGTGACAAATATCTTAAGATGTTTAAAATCTTTTACTTTGTACATTTAAAGTATTTGTAGTTTGTATTAGAGAGTCTTATTTATATTTTTGAAATTCTTTTGCTATTCTTTATAACTATTAATCATAATAGGCTGTTTGAAATGTTCACAAGAAACATTTAAAATTGTAATAGGAAAATTCTACACGGCTTTCTTGTTAAACTTTTTAAAAAGAAAAAATAATACTACACAATATATTAAAGTCAATTTTAAATAGGCCTCCCTTTAAATGCATATCTATTGTACACACAGGGAAACACAAACTATGTTTTATAGTGTCCATTACCACTGTCCATTACAACTTACCAATAATAAACAAAATTTTTTTCTGTTAATTAGAAGTAGCACAAAGCTTTTTACAAATTAATATATATAATATCAGAGAAGAGTTCTTTTTCAATTTAACGAATTACTGCCGTAATTTTTTATTCCAAAAAAAATGCTGGAATAAATGCTTACTGGCTTACTTTGATAGGTACCAAGAAATTCTCCAGCTCAAGTGATCTCCTTCATTCATGCCCCCAATTTTACCATGAGCACTAATTTCCTTTATGCTAAGATTTGTTTCTCCTGATGGGCTTTGTTTTGTTGTTGTTATTGTTTAAATGCCTTCTATTTCTGAGGACGTGATTATTAATAAATTCTCCATGTGCTTTAGTGTACTGATTCTGTCCAGTTGCTTTGCTCCCTGGAAAAGAAGGGTTTAGGGGGACAGGGATTCTGAAAGGGGTCAGAACCAAGAAGCATGCTTGCTATAGAGCCAGCCCAGAACAACGTGTAACCATCACTGACCATATTGTGCCAACATCCTGTGTTTCTGGGTGGCAAATGTGTGTCAGGGGTATGTGTGAGTGTTTTGACCTGCCAGCCATTTTAGCCTGTGGGCTAAAAATAGGACAGTAATTCAAAGTGTTCTATTTCTGCCTTAAAATGCCATTCTTATGCGGTCCTGTGAGGGGGACATAGATCTTTTTAAAGTAGGTAGGTCAGGCATCAACGGTTTGAGTAAGCTTTTCTTTGGGAGTACTCAGGTTAACATTGGATTGAATTAAGCCTTCAGTTAATATATGTGACTGGTATAATTACTTCAGTAAGTATATTCATCCTTAATTTAGCAGATACTTTTAGAGCCCATGTGACATAGCAGGCACTTTTTTCTAGACTCCCAGGCTACAAAAATAA